>NC_000003.12:128554058-128705574 GCF_000001405.40 Homo sapiens
AGACCAGAGAGGACCAAGCAGGTCCACCCAGATGAGAGGGAGAGAAGGTAAGGATTTCAGGTCAGATTCTAGGTCAAACAGGACTTTTCTGGTGGCAGGTGGCAGTGACCCAACAGAACTGTCTTAACTGAAATGAGCATTGTTGATATAGGTAGCTGGAAAAACCCAGACACGGGTAGGCTCTGAGTCACTGGGGCCTAAACACAACTGGTCAGCCAGCGCTAGCTTCTGTCTTGGAGCTCAGCCCACCTCCTCAGATGACCGCACTCTCCTCCTGGTGGCAGGATGGCTGCAGCAGTTCCAGGCCTTACCTCTGCTCAGCCCTGAGGCCATGGAGAAACAGGCAATGCCTCTGGTTGACTATGGTCATACCCATCTCCGAGTCAGCTGCTGTGGGCAAAGGAATGCAAGGATTGACTAGGTATGGCTGAGGTGACCCCCATTAGGGCGTGATGGGGTCAGCCGCAGTCAAATCACACGGGCTAAGAGTGGGTGAGCGAATGAAGGTGAATGTCAAAAGAAGAGGGAGCGGATGCTGGTCCACCGGAGACTTACAGCAAAGGGGCACCTACACCGCAGCGCCACTGCTGCTAAGAATTAGCAGTCACGGAGGCTCCGAGCTCCTGTCAGATTGAGCACTTTACTCGTGACCCCTCAGCCCATACCGACAACGGCAGGACGGGCACTCCTCATCCACGAGGGCAATGACTGTGTATCAAGCACCTTCTGAGCGCCAGGCCTTGTTCTAAGTGTCCCGGCGTCCCCAGTGAAGCAGGCGAAATAAGCCACGGTGTGGAGGCAGGGAGTGCCTCCCAAGACCCCGAGACCGCTGAGGGCAGAGGAGGGTTATTTAAAGGCAGCACTTGAAGACCCAGGAATCACTCCTGGGGGCGCAGCCTTGCACAGCTAGAGGGCCTGTGGGTTTGAGGAGCCTCAGGGTTGGGGGCGCCGTGGCCGGTGAGGGAGTGAGGTCAGAGGGGAGGGGAGGGCTGGCATCCTTGGGAAGGCTCGAATAGAGGGGAGGCTTGGTGTGAACGATACCCTGCCGGCTGCGTGTGGAGGGGAGGCTGTGGCCTGGGCGGAAGGCAGGAGTCCCGGGAGGGGCAGCGGGGACGGGGACCCTGAGGCCCAGGGGATTGGGCTCAGGGGCCGGATTCAGGATGCTTTCCGCGCAGAGCCAGCCGCAGAAGGGGCATGGGAAAGAGCCTCATCTACGCACGAGAAAACCGGGCCGAGAGTCAAGAGCCAAGGCGGGGCTGCCGTTCCAGGGCGCGAGCCGGGCCGTCCCCCACCTCGATCCTGTGCGCCCTGCCTCGGGCGGCCAGGGTGCGCGCGGCGGCCGCGGGCGCTGCGGAGAGACCGGCGGAGGCCGGGGCACCCGGCGTGTTTTTCAGGAAGGAAGCCTTCGCTCCTGTAACAGGCTGGGGCTTGGCCCGGCCCGCGGCCGCCCCGCCAGGAAGCGCCCCGTCCGCCCCCTCGGGGCGCGTCCGCGGCAGGCACTTTTGAGGACAGGAAGGGGAGAGGTGACCTGAGCATCCACGCAGCTGTGGCATTCGGGGACGGGCCGAGGACTGGGTTTCTTGCCATCCTCAGCGCTGGGGGTGACTCCAAGCCCCCGGGTGGGGGTGGGGAGTGGCCGGGCATGGCGCCCGGCTCCACAATGCATCGCCTTACCCGGCCGGAATTCCTGCAGGACGCTTTGTTCTCAGATGGCAGCGCTGCTAGAGCCATCGGACCTGTGAGGGGGGGGCGCCCGGGGCAGGCCAGAGCCAGGCCTCAGGAAGCCCGCAGCGGCTGCGGCGCTGGGCATTGCCCCACATGCCCGCCACCCTCCCCCGGGCACCCCCCACCCACCGGCGCCACAGTCCCCCCAGCGCCCCCCGCCCCTGGAGCCGCCTGGAAACTGGGCCAGGTCCAGCTGGACAGGCTGTGTCAACTCCAGCTGGGGGGCTTCGCGGAAGCCACCCATTTCCTGCGGCCGTGCAGGCTGTCTGCAGCAGAGACCACCCCACCAAGTTCCCGCCTCTCCCTCCCACCTAGCCCTCAATGGCAACCTACTGGACACTGAGCGAGGGTGGTCTCTGGATGGCCCCCAATGGACACTCTGAAACCTGTCCCTACCCCAGCCCCTGCCCCAGCCCTGGCAGGCCATGTGACATCAGGAGAGCAGTTTACCCTCTCTGGGCTTCAGCTTCCTGCTCTAAAGGAGACCAGAGACTCCCACTTCGGTGCAGTAAAGCAAAGCATCCCTGAGAAAAGAGCCTTTCCGCTTTGGAGAACTGAAGCGGAATGATGGAACCAGAACACTCTGGAGGGAAAGCACATTAATTTCAGTACTGCCTTGTGCTGTTACTTCGGTTGGAATTTTTAAAAACAACCACATCCAGCACTTACTCTGCACTAGGCACTGCTCTAACTCCTCACCTACATGCAGGTGCCAGCAGCAGCCGCCTTGCCCTCTCTAACAAGGGGGCGAAGGTAGCAGGGAGAGGTGGACACGGTGCCCAGAGCCAGGTCACTGACAACTGGATGAGACCCTGGCATCTTGGCCCAGGGCCCACGGTCACAGACGCTGAACCACACGCATTCTTAGGACCCAATTTTTAGAGGAAAGTAGGTTGTTGCCCAAAACTGCGTGCCGGTGTGGTGTGCATGTGTGTGAGAGTATGAGAGTGTCTGTATGAATGTGCATCTGAGTGTGTTCTGAGCGTGTGTGGGTGTGGTGTGTGAGTTGTAAGACTGCGTCATGTGTAGATGTGTGTGTGTGTGTGAGAGTGTGTGTTGTGTGTGTGATAGTCTAGAAACCTCCTGAGAAGAGCTGGTGAGGAACTAGAGAGTGGGGCAGGGGTGAGACTTTGGGATGCGCCTGAAAAACTTAAAGCGCCGTTACTCAAAGTTGAATTGTTTTTCTAAAGTCCTAATGCAAACAACATGTGGGGCAGGGCCCAGATGGTGCCCGGGAGCCCCTGACAGGGTCCTCAGGAAACAGGTGCTCCTGGAATGTTTCCTGCCGCGGGGCTGTGGCAGCAAGCAGGTCACCAGGCTCTTCATTACTGTCAGGAGGGCCCAGCTGCAGCCCCGTCCAGCTGGGTGGAAACCCATGGCCACCGGTCACGAAAGTGCAGGCCTTGGTGGGGACAGGCCCACAGCTCTGCGTTCCCAGCTTCCCCAGCCGGTGTGAGGTGCAGCTCTGGGCTGGGCCCCCGTGTGAGGAAGCCTTGCTCCACCAGCTCCATGGGGTTAGTGGCAAGAAGGTTATGAGCATCCTTAAGTTGCAAAGCTATTGCCAATTATTTCCCCAAAGTGTTGTACCTAGCTGTGAATGCTAGGAATTGCTTCTCTATACCTTCTACAAGCAGGGAGTATCCTTGCAGTCTGATAGAGGACAAAGACATCTTCCAAAGGAAGGATTTTGAGCAGAAGAGGGAGCGCATCATGCCTATATCTATGTGTTAGGAGGGTCATCATGGTGGCCAGGTTGACTATAGACTAAGGTACAGTTAAGGTTGTTTTCAGTCAAAAAAATAACCAAAAAACTACTTCAGTGATTTAAACAAACAGGAATTTATTTTTCTCACGTGAGAAATCTAAGGTGCTGTTCAATGGCTGAGGCATGCCCGGCTGAAACTGCTGTCAGTCTCTTTCCTCATGGTCACAAGATGGCTGCCTTAGCTCCTGCCATTAGATCCATGTTCAAAGCAAGGAGAAAGAGGAAAGGGGAAGGGTTGCACCAGCTGAGTCCCTCTCTTTCTGTCAGGAAAGAAAGGCTTTTTAAAAGCTATGCCCAGAAGATATCTGCTAATATATCATGGGTCAAAAATGAGCCACATGCCACCCCTAGCTATAGTGAAGTCTGGGAAGTATTTGGCTGTCAGCCTCTATAGTGAAAGGCACCAAGGGAGCAGAGGGCTGGGGACAGATGCTGGGACAACCTACGCAGCAGCTATCTGGCATTGATGCTGTGGGTCACCCAAGGCCCCACCCCATCTGGCTCCACCGTGCAATGAGCCACCAGCCACCCGCACACAGCTGTGCTCAGTGCTAGAACCAATGAGAGCTCAGCCCGCAATACCAGGAGCGTTCTTCAAACTCCAGGCAGGCCTCTAAAATTATCTCCAGGCTTCTGGTGAGGGTTACAGGGCAACTTCCTTGTCTGTCCAGTGTGAGGGCAGCCAACTGGGTCTCAGGCCTCTAGAATGTTCCACCTTCCTTGATCTCTGGCACCCAAAAGAAGTCCAGTCCGGTGTTCAAGAAACCCACTGGTTCCCACCGGCCCCCTCCTGGCATGGTATCCTCTCTAGCATGCCCATCTGGGCTGCACCTGGCTAACTGTTTGACCACCTGCCCTACCTGTCCATCTCACTCCCCTGATGTGGACTTCCTGATGCTTCCTGGGCTGGCGTTGACTCTTCTGCCTCGCCATGGCTGCTGCCGTCTTGCTGTTGCCCCAGGCTTCTGTGTGTAGCCACACAACCCCGTGGTGTCACCACCCTTTTTTTTTTTTTTTTTTTGAGACAGAGTCTCGCTCTGTCCCCCAGGCTGGAGTGCAGTGGCGCGATCTTGGCTCACTGCAAGCTCCGCCTCCCGGGTTCACGCCATTCTCCTGCCTCAGCCTCCCTAGTAGCTGGGACTACAGGCACCCGCCACCACACCCGGCTAATTTTTTGTATTTTTAGTAGAGATGGGGTTTCGCCGTGTTAGCCAGGATGGTCTCATCTCCTGACCTCATGATCCACCCGCTTCAGCCTCCCAAAGTGCTGCGATTACAGGCGTGAGCCACTGTGCCCGGCCATCACCATCCTTTTAAAAATAATGTCAAATTGACTGGGCGCGGTGGCTCACACCTATAATCCCAGCACATTGGGAGGCCCGGGTGAGTGAATCACGAGGTCAGGAGTTCGAGACCAACCTGGCCAACATGGTGAAACCCCCGTCTCTGCTTAAAAAATTTTAAAAATTAGTTGGGCATCGTGACGGGCACCTGTAATCCCAGCTACTCGGGAGGTTGAGGCAGGAAAATCACTTGAACCCAGGAGGCGGAGGTTGTAGTGAGCCAAGATTGTGCCACTGCACTCCAGCCCGGGTGACAGAGTGAGACTCCATCTCAAATAAATAAATAAATAATGTTAAATCAAAAAAGTATATGGGAATTCCATTTCTGGCAAAAGGATAGTGGGCAGCATGCAGTCATCATTCTAATGACAGCTGCCACTTACATAGCACTTACTACAACCAGACACCGTTCTGAACGTTCCATGTGCCAGCCAGCGACAGCCCTGTGTGGTGGGAATATCAGCCTGTTTCCCAGATAAGGAAACTGAGACACAGAGGTTAAGTAGCCTGCCCAGGTCACACAGTCATGAGTGGCCTTGTATTTCCTAGAAATGGTTAAAGTATGTTAAGTATCTTTTTAAATACACAGCAGGGCTTGCAAAAAAAAAAAAAAAGGAATATTCATTAGAGCCAAAAGTGGCAGGGGCATCAAGAAGGTGGAACCCAACCCCACCCCCGATCTCCCCACTCACCCTCAGTGTGGGCTGCACATGGAGACTTCCTTCCAGGGAGCACAGCACGGAAACAGAGAAAAAAGCAACTTTGTAAACAAGAAACCTGACCAAGGCAGACTCACCCGCGCAGGCGCTGAGTCATGTTGACAGCAGGTGCCCTTGCTAGGATGTGATGGGCAGGGCGCTTACCTCTGCGGGCATCCTCCCCCAACAAACAATCCCGGTCTAACCAGGAGAAAAACACCTGTTTTTTCCGACAGAGGGACATGCTATAGAATGCCTGACTGTACTGCCCCGAACTGTCAAGGCCATCCAAAACATGGAAAGTCTGAGAAACTGTCACAGCCAAGAGAAGAGCCTAAGGGGAAGACTAAATGCGATGGGGAGCCCTGCACGGGATCCTGGGGCCACTGGGTAAAATGGGGAAGCCTGAATGAGGCATGGACTTCAGTTACACTGCATCGGCCTCGGCTGGCTCAACCGCACCACAGTAAGAGAAGACATTAACACCAGGGGAAACTAGGTGTGGCGTCTATGGGAACTCTCTGTACCATCGCTGCAACTTTTCTGTAAATCTAAAAGTGCTCTAAAATAAGAAGTTTATCTAAACATAAGTGAAAGGCAGCTGAAAACTCTGAATGCAGCACACAGAAACAGGTCCAGCACAGCAAGGAGACGGAAACTATGGAAAAGAGACCCCACGTCGAGGAGAGAAGGAAAATGCTCTCCCCGCATCGACCAGGATTCCCGAATGGGGGAACTCAGAGGTCTGGGGAGAGTATGTATTTGAAAAAACGATGGCTAAGAACTGTCCAGCCAGACTCGATTGAAAATATAAATTCTCCGGCCGGGCACGGTGGCTCACGCCTGTAATCCCAGCACTTTGGGAGGCCGAGGTGGGCGGATCACGAGGTCAGGAGATCGAGAACATCCTGGCTAACACGGTGAAATCCCGTCTCTACTAAAAATACAAAAAATTAGCCAGGCGTGGTGGCGGGCGCCTGTAGTCCCAGCTACTCGGGAGGCTGAGGCAGGAGAATGGTGTGAACCTGGGAGGCGGAGCTTGCAGTGAGCCAAGATCGCGCCACTGCACTCCAGCCTGGGCGACAGAGCGAGACTCCGTCTCAAAAAAAAAAAAAAAAGAAAATATAAATTCTCCAAATGGAGAAGCAAAAATCCCGAACCTGATAAATAAAACTAAAGCAACACCTGGATACGTCGCAGCGAAACTGCAGACCATCACACACAGAGAGAACTGTGGCAGACGCTGTGGCACCCAGAGCCCCCCAGGACAGAGACCTGGTCCCCAGTGGCAGCAGGGCTGGCGGCCTGGCTCTCGGCTATGTCCCTCTCCAGGAACTGCTGCCAGCTGAATACAGCTGCCTCTCCCCACTTCCCCGTGGGTGCAGCTGGCATGGAATGACTGGTCCAAGTGGGGACCCAAAAGCCCAGCTCCGGAGTTCCCACGGGGTCCACCGAGGGCTATGCCGATGCTGCTACCTTTGCTCCCTCAGAGGCACTGTCCCCAAGAACACACCCCAGGACACTCCCCAGAGTTTGTTTTCTGGAAAAATCAACCGACATCAAGATCTTCATTAATGTAGTCACACGATTCAAAAGTCCAAAAGCCCAGAAAGTAGAAAGGTGGTCGCTAGGGGTTGGGGAGGGAATGGGGAGTTAGAGTTGATTGCGGACAGAGCTTCAGTTTGGGAAGATGAAACAGTTCTGTGGATAGATGGTGGGCATGGTAACGCAATACTGTGAGTTCACTAAATGCCTCTGAACTGGTTAAAATCAGGCCGGGCACAGCAGCTCATGCCTGTAATCCCAGCACTTTGGGAGGCCGAGGTGGTAGGATCCCTTGAGCCCAGGAGTTTGAGATCAGCCTGGGCAACATAGCAAGACCCCATATCTATTAACAAATTAATTAATTAAAATGAAATAATAAATGGTTAAAATCATAAATATTATGTTCCATACATTTTACCACAATAAAAAAACTGTCAAGTAGCCCAAAGTATAAAATAAATATCTAGCCGGGTGTTGTGGCAGGCACCTGTAGTCCCAGCCACTCAGGAGACTGAGGTGGGAGGCTCACTTGAGCCCAGGAGTTCAAGGATGCAGCGACCTATGATTGCATAACTGCACTCCAGCCTGGGTGAGAGTCTGAGTCCATACTGATATCAATAAATGATTGAATACATTCATAAATAGGAAAAAGTCTCTGATACAGAATAATTTCAAATAAATTATGAAGCTACTCCATTCTAAAGCAAGGATAGAACCCCACCCCTCAAGTGTGGGCTTCCCAGAGTGACATCCTTGAAAGAGTTCAGGATGGAAAGGGGGAAGGAGTAATCTTTCAGGACAGCAACCTGAGAGACACGACCTATGCCAGGTGGTCAAGGCCAGCATCACTGTGGTAAGTCATGTGCCAGTACTGACCACGGATACGATGAGATGAGAAGGACGCTTACCTCTGTGGGCTTCCTCCCCAACACTCATTAACGTCTTACAGAAAAACTGCAAAGCTCTCACAGAGAGCTCCTGTATATCCCACAGCCGGGGAATATACAGCCAGCGCCCTCTATTATTAATATTTTATGGTAGCATGGTGCATTTTTTACTGTTAATGAGCTATACTGATCTGTTATTAACTAAAATCCATACTTTATTTAGTTTTCCTTAGTTTTCACCTAATGTCCTTCTTCTGTCCTGGGACCTCCTCCAGGATACACATTACAATTAGTCGTGCTTGAGGCTCCTCTGGGCTTTGACAGTTTCTCAGAGTCACCTTGTTCATAGTAGGGGAAGGGGAGGAGGTATAAGGTAACTCCCTGTACCAAGTGCTCAATTTTTCCATCACTCTAAAACTGTTCTAAAAAATAAAGTATATTAATAATAATTTTTAAAGTACCAAGTAGCATAGGGTTTATAATAAAAAGCATTGGCCCCAATCCCTCTCCCTGGGAGCAGACAGCCTTAATTAGTTCATCTCCATACATTTAAATACTAAGCCTAAAACTACCATTATTTCATGTATCAACTTAAATCATGCTCTGTTGACTGCCTACCAGGACAGCCAAGCTGGACAGTCAGTTAAAACCTAGCTGCCGCCACCTGCACCTCCCCCAGTTTTATTTAATGTGTTTAGTTCCTCCATTGCAGAGTTATCAACCCTCAGTCATTCTTGTGCCACTTTTGCAATTTTTGCTTTATCTCTCTAGTGCCTACCTGCATTACCATTTACTTACTACTTATTTTTTTAATTGATTTGCTTTGTTAAATGAAAGTACTTTAAAAGAAAGCATTTACTTCACTATCATTCTTTAAATCTTATGCTAAGACACATTTAAACTAGTATCACTGCCCACTGATATCCCACCTGAAACCCTTGTAAGCACCCTTCCCACACTTTCAACTTTAAATCATATACTTAAACCTTACTGCCTCCGTGTATTTTGACATCTCTGGGGGAGACAGCTGCTTCTCTCCCCAACCTTCCCAACCTGCTCCTCCCTCAGATCTCCTACCTTGGTTGACAGCAATTCCATCCTTCCCATCATTCAGGCCAAAGCCTCAGAGTCACCCTGAGCGTTCTCTTTCACACCCCGTGTCCACCTTGGTTTCTAACAGGCACTGCAAATCTAACCTGACAATGCTGGAGTCGGCAGTTGGATTTATGAGCCTGGAGTCAGGGGAGAAATTGGGGCTGAAGATAATCCATTTGGAAGTCATCAGTGTGAAGATGGTGCTTAAAGACATGAGACTGAGGTGAGGTCACCAAGGGAGCAGGCAGATAGAAAAAGTTGGAGGACTGAGTCCCAGGGCCCTCCAAATTCCAGCAGCCCAGAGATGAGAAAGGACCAGCTTTAAAGGTGGATTCAGAGATACCAGCAAAGGAGAGGAGATACAGCGTGTGCTGATAAACCTGCCCTCTGAAAATAAAGAAATAAACGCATTGATTTGTAGAGTTTTCCAGTTTCCATGGTGTAAATAACTCCCACTGTGGTCCATTTCAGGCTACCAACATGACGTCACTGAACAGGGAGTCAGGAGCTTTGCACATAGTCAACTCTTGCAAACTATTATGAGTTTGTCCTGCTCCCCACTGCCTGGAAACCAAGCAAACAGAGAGTTACAAAAAAAGAATTACAAGCATGAAGGGTGAACAACCATGTTAAATGCCGTTGACATGTCAAATTAGCTGAGGACTTCCGCAGTGATGGATGTAACACTTTGCCACGCAAAAATGTTAAACGTAGATCAGGCAGGATGCAAAAATAGCATAACTTCACACTCTGTAAAGTTACACTCCCCAGTACAACTTTCAAACCGGAGCAATAAAGAGAGAAACAATTCCCTGGATCATTTATTTTTAATCTCTCCTCAATTCTAACATATGCATTCAGGCCATAATTGTCCCTCTAAGCATGGCTTTAACTGCATTCCAACGTTTGTACATGTAATATTTTAATTATCGTTTGTTCAAAACATAATTTTAATTGCCATCACGCTTTT
This sequence comes from Homo sapiens, assembly GCF_000001405.40. Lineage (NCBI taxonomy): Eukaryota > Metazoa > Chordata > Mammalia > Primates > Hominidae > Homo > Homo sapiens. The sequence goes on from NC_000003.12 coordinate 128,564,087, forward strand.
TCTCAGGCCTGAGAGTTTTTTAAGACTGCTGTTCGGCCGGGCATGGTGGCTCACACCTGTAATCCCAGCACTTTGGGAGGCCAAGGCAGGCAGACCACCTGAGATCGGGAGTTCGAGACCAGCCTGACCAACATGGAGAAACCCCGTCTCTACTAAAAATACAAAATTAGCCAGGTGTGGCGGCACATGCCTGTAATCCCAGCTACTCGGGAGGCTGAGGCAGGAGAATCACTTGAACCCAGGAGGCAGAGGTTGCAGTGAGCCAAGATTGTGCCATTGCACTCCAGCCTGGGCAACGAGAGTGAAACTCTGTCTCAAAAAAAAAAAAAAGAAAAGAAAAGAAAGAGTACTGTTTAATTTCCAAACATTTGAAGACTTGGTTATCTTTTTTTTTTTTTTTTTTTTTTTTGAGATGGAGTCTCGCCCTGTCACCCAGGCTGGAGTGCAGTGGCGCGATCTCCACTCACTACAAGCTCCGCCTCCCAGGTTCACGCCATTCTCCTGCCTCAGCCTTCAGAGTAGCTGGGACTACAGGCACCCGCCACCACACCCAGCTAATTTTTTGTATTTTTAGTAGAGATGGGGTTTCACCGTGTTAGCCAGGGTGGTCTTGATTTCCTGACCTCGTGATCCACCCACCTCGGCCTCCCAAAGTGCTGGCATTACAGGCGTGAGCCACTGCACCTGGCCAACTTGGTTATCTTTTTAATGAGTATTTCTAACTTAATTATATTGTGGTCAGAGAATATATTTTGTATAATTTCAATTCTTTGAAACGTTTTTGAGAGTTGTTTCCCAGTATGAATCCATTTTGGTAAATTTCCAATGTGGGCTTGAAAAAAATGTGTAACCTGAGTAGTTGTTGTATCTGTCTGAAGTTGGCTGATCATGTTATTTAAATCTGTATATCCTACTGATATATTTCTGCTTGTTCTATGAGTTAGTGAGAGAAGCAAGAAGTATATAAAAACCTCCTACTATAATTGTGGATCTGTCCATTTCTCACTCTTTTTTTTCTTTTTTGATTTTCCAAAATGAGAGGCATCCGTTTCTTCTTGTCTGTTTTCTGTTATCTGTTGTCTCTCCTGGCATTCGTTCGTGCAGTCTTGTTTCTGCTTGGGCCTAGCTACTATTATTGTGTGCTTGACGTTAAAATTTTAAACATTGTTAATAGAAATAATGAGACCTAGAATGCTGCTATCTTCCTCCAGAAAGGTATTCAAATGGCTTCTTCCAGGTGCCGAGGGCATGGGCAATCCTAAATCCAGCTGTAGAGTTTGATATTCTCTGAAACTGAGCAGCAAATCTCGCCAGGACTGGTGCAGGTCTCCAGTCCACCCGTATGCCCGGGTGTAGTGCTGCGCGGTCCCAACCAAAAATGCAAGCCAGGAACAAGCTCCCACCACCTTCTCTCCGTTATCCTCACAATCTGCGAAAGCACCGCTCAGCCCTCAGCCACCTCTTCTGACACTGGCAATCGCCCTCAAGGAAAAAGTGACCCCAAATGCTGAGCTCACCTTTCCCCATGTTTCCTTTGCGTGGATCTTCATCCCACCGTCAGCTCTCCAGTGCCTTCCGGCAGGCCTTCGACTGGACTGTTTTGTGCAGCTCCTCTGGGCGTCCTCAGTGGAAGGGCTGCTACAAACCACCTAGTGCCTTTGCAAAAATCAAAAGTCTCACCTCATTTTTCAAAGGAAAAAGACAAGCTTTTCACTCCACGGAAGGAGTCTCCCCTTTCCATTCCTAAAGAGATCTCTACCATGATGTTATATCAGGAATGTAATGAGAATCTGAGGGAAAAGGTCTGCGACTATGGACTCCTAAAGGCAGGCAGTATTAAGAACAGAGTTGGCAACTCGCAGCAGCCAAAATGCTAATACAGAATTCTGTTTCCACCAAAAAAAAAAAAAAAAAAAAGGCCAGACATGGTGATTCACGCCTGTAATTCCAACATATTAGGGGGCTGAGGCCGGAGGATCACTTGAGCTCAGGAATTCGAGACCAACCTGGTCAATATAGTGAGACCTCATCTCTATAAAAAAATTAAAAATTAATTGAATATAGTGGTACACACCTGTAGTCCCAGTTAGTTGGGAGGCTGAGACAGGAGGATTGTTTGAGCCCGGGAGGTCAAGGCTGCAGTGAGCCATGATCACACCACTGCACTCCAGCCTGGGCAACAGACCAAGGCTTGTCGCAAAAAATAAAAATAAAATAAAATAAAATTTAAGCCAATGTCTTCAGTTCTGGTTGAATTCACAGCCACCGTTAAATCTTCCGAGCACATAGGCAAGATAGAAACACCACTGCCACTTGGTGACAGTGTGCTTTAATTGCAGGGAATGGGAAACAAAGGCCCAAAAGCAAGTCACAGATTAGAACAGCATCACCACAGGAGGTCTGAGAGCCAAGCCTCTGCCTCAAAATCTGACAGGGAAGGAACAATCTAGAAGACAGATTCTGAAGACATTCTGGAAAAGAGAGACTGAGTACAGTACAACCCCTGGTCCTTTCTTCCTTCTGCCCTAGGCCCCAGCTCAGCCCATCTGCTCACCTTCCCTATCCCTAGTTCTCACGGTAGGGAACAGCTTATTTACAAAGGGAACTCTAAGGTCTCAGGAGGAATTTTGGTCAATATTTTAGCCACTTCCTACATTCAGCCTCGCTCAAGGTCTCTCTTCTTGATTGTATTGTCCTAATCTACTTTCCCACCAACATAAATAGTATTTCTAGCTCTTGTCCTAACTGAGAGAAAGTTTGTGTTGGAATTGCTACTGGGAAATCTCTAGTGACTCTTCATGTTAAAAGAGGAGGAAGGGGCTGGGCATGGTGGCTCACACCTGTCATCTTAGCACTTTGGGAGGCCAAGGTGGGAGGATCATTTGAGCTCAGGAGTTCAAGACCAGCCTTGGCAACATGGCAAGACCCCATCTGTGTTAAATATATATATATTCAATAAAAAAGAGGAGGAAGGGAAATTCAGAGAGCTCGGCTAGATTGCACAAAGTCACAGCCTTGGTCGTAGGGCCAGGGTACAGCAGCCACCTCCCGACTTACTGCCCCTCTCCACATTACCTCTTGGCCACACCACCTTGTCCAGGCCAGGGCTTTTGCAGCCTGAGCTGTGGGGGGTGGGTGTCAAGATTGAGAAACTGACTTCCCAGAGACTATCTACATGGGGTCTGCGGAGGCTCAGAGCGTGGTGCTGGTGAGTACAAAGGGAGGTTCCAAGCCCTCCCTGAGCCCGTGAGCACCTTACACTCCCAGCCAGACCATAGTCGGGCATGCCGGGGCCACCACCAATGTGGCAAAGGGACACGGCTGGACACAGGGCACTTAGCTGGCCAGCCTTGTGGGTCTGCAGATTGATCTTCTCTTGAGCAAGACTTTTGCAGTCAGACTCTGGCCCTGCCATTTAACTGGTTGTGTGAATCTGAGTGAGTCCCTTTGCACTCCTCTGCACTCCTCCCCTGCCCGTTCCATGCTGCGGCTATGACAACACTGCCCATTCCACAGGGCTGTACTGAGAATGTGAGTTACTGTATTGAAATTGCTTAGCACCATGCCTGGCACATGGCACATGCTCAGGGTTAGCTGTTATTAGAAAGAAAAACTGAGGGGGGCTTCATGGCACAGGGGATGGATTTGGCTAAGGCTGGGATAATCACCACCTGCCAAGGGTCCACCCTGTGCCTGATATTTCCCAGAGTGGCTGCCAGCATCACGATGACCGTGACCTTGTGCTCAGAAGACATCACCACCCGGCTTCAGAGCTGAAGTTAGTGACACTCAGAGAGATTGAGTGACTTGCCCTGCTGGCAGGTGATGGAACTAGAGTCTTGTTCCAAACTAGGCACTTTACATATTTTACCTAATGTAATCCTCCCGAGAGCCTCAGCTGATCAGTGCTACTCACTGGGCCGATTTGACAGGCCCAGAAACTGTTAGTCCCCTGCCTATGTTTAAGCTCCTGGGCAGTGGCAAAGTCAGGATTCGAACCCAGGACCTCCACGCTCCAGAGTCCTTGCCTTTGGCAATTGCGCTCTGCTGTCCGGCAAGTCCATTGCAGCTGCTTGGTCCATTTTGCAGAATCAAAGCAGCGATGTGTGCTGGCTGTTGGGGGCGGGGGGCAGCATGGCCCCAGCTGAGGGCTTGCTGAGGGAGGGAGAGAAGCTAGAACTCGACATTTGGATGGAATGTTCAAGGGTCCTGTTGCCCAGGCCAAGCCTCTGCTTGAACACCCTCAGGGATGGGGGAGCTCACTGCCAGTCTGCTCCACTGTGAATGGACTTGATGGATTAGGAAGCCCTTTACTCCAGGAGAAGGTCACCACCTGCAACTCACTGGTCTCTGTTCTGCCTTCCTGAGCCACACAGATTTTACCATCATGTGAAACGATGATAACAATAATAAGAATGTCGTGGTGACTACGAATTTTTTGAGAGGGTCCAGTGCCCTAATCACTGTGTTTTGGGCTTTTTTTTTTTTCATGTACTATCTCATTTAGTATTTAAAACTAACTACTGTGCCCATCCTCACTCCACCCCAACAAAGACAGGAAGTGACCAATTTACAAACTAATTGTGTTCCTAACATTCTTTTGTAAGGCTGTTGTTTGGATGACGAAACCGCTTTCCCACATAAACAATGGTATAAATGGCTGTGGGTGCCCCAGCTAGCCCCCCGAAGCCTGGTTTACTCATCCCGCCTAAAGGGCCCCCACACATTTACAATGAAAGAGAACAGAACGGAGTCAGATTAGAGCCGCAGTCATTAAACAATGGAGGGAAAAACTGATGTTGGGAGAAAGATGGTTGTTGTCTCCAGCACTGGCTGCCTCAGGAAGCGCCAGCCCAGAAGAGAACGGCCAACTTCCCGCGCTGGGGCAGGGGCGGCCTGGGAATGGCTTCAAAGCCAGTCTCTCCCACTGATAGAACCAGACAGCACCCAGCCCAACATTTTACCCAAAGAATGAACCCAATGGTGGGACAGTGTGGAGCCTCAGAGGGGTGAGCCAGACCTGGCCTTGCCACTTCCTGCATGTGTGGTCCCAGGAGAGCTACTGGACTTCTCTGAAGGTCCCCATGCAGGGAGCAGAAGCACTACGGTCCTTCCTGGGGTGCACTGAGGACACAGAGACAGCGGGTGTCAAGAACTTAGTATAGGCCAGGAGCCGTGGCTTACGCCTGTAATCCCAGCACTGTGGGAGGCTGAGGCAGAAGGGTCACTTGAGGCTAGGAGTTTGAGACCAGCCTGGACAACATAGCAAGACCCCATCTCTAAAAAAAATTTTTTTAACAACTTAGCACAGTCTCTGGCACATAGTAGGTGCTCAATAATGGTGAGTCATATTGTTAAAAATAATAAAAGTTGAAGCCGGGCACAGTGGCTCACGTCTGTAATCCCAGCACTTTGGGAGGCCGAGGTGGGCAGATCATGAGGTCAGGAGTTTGAGACCAGCCTGGCCAACATAGTGAAACCCTGTCTCTACTAAAAATACAAAAAATTAGCCAGGCGTGGTGGCGGGCACCTGTAATCCCAGCTACTTGGGAGGCTGAGGCAGGAGAATTACTTGAACCCGGGAAGCGGAGCTTGCAGTGAGCCGAGATCATGCCATTGCACTCCAGCTGGATGACAGAGCGAGACTCCGTCTCAAAGTTAATAAATAAATAAATAATAATAAAAGTTCTGCATGGCCCATGCCTGGGGGAGAAAAGAAGAAAGAAATCAGGAAAGAGAGGTCCCAAATGCCAAAGGCATGGTGCAGGGTCCATAATCTGGGGAGGGGGTTTTTCTTATCTCAGATCTTGCATAGCCTTTCTGCATGGCAATGCATTGGGAGTTAAAAGTGAAAAAGCCACAGGGTGCGGTGACTCATGCTTGTAATCCCAACACTTTGGGGAGCTGAGGCGAGAGGATCTATTGAGGCCAGCAGTTGGCCAGCCTAGGCAACAAAGTGAGACCCCATCTCTACAAAAATAAGTAAATAAATAGGCATGGTGGTGCACACCTGTGGCCTCCAGCGACTCGGGAGGCCGAGGCGGAAGGATGGCTTGAGCTCAGGAAGTTGAGGCTGCAGCAAGCCATGACTACACCACTACACTCCAGCCTAGGGGCAGATCAAGACCCTGTCTTTAAATAAATAAATAAATAGAAGTGGAGAAGAACCCGACAGGTGCCTCGTGGGGACTCGGATTTGGAAATAGATTGAGATGCTATCTGCAGTCAGCCAGCACAGCCTTGAAGCCTCCTGATAACCAGGGCGACCAGAGAGTAACTTCAGACAGCAGAGAACTACACAGGCAGGTGGAAGCAACCTGAAGAGGAGGTTGGACCACCGCCTCTGCAGCTGGGGCCAATGGGCATGGTCTCCAGACTGCTAGTTCACCAAGAGTTTTTAACTTTAGGAAGTCATTTTCCATGATTATTTGCACCTGCAAAATTCCAGTCCCAATGTTCAGTTTGGTCATGGCCTGAGAGCCATTCGGTGCGACTTTAATGGCCACAGGATACTAAGGAAAGAAAGGTGGATGTCAGATAGAAAGGACGCATTCATGACAAGAGAAGGGCAATGGCACTTGGATGTGTTTTAAGACACTGAGGCTTTGCAGGAGTTCAAACAGAGAAAAGGAGGAGGAAAAGGGAGTTGTCACAGTGGTTACAGAATGTGCCAGATTCCACGGAAGCTGCACTGAGCCCATCAGCACCACATTCCTGTTTCAAGCAAGACAGCATTATTCATTGGCATAGACTAATACCATTCACTTGAATTTTATTCATCTTGTAATTTTGGTTGGATTTAACTTATCTTTCATTTTCATCTTGTTGTAGGAGTAGACAGTACCAATGTTTAGCTTTAGGTGAGCACAGATTGATTGAACGATTGATTGATTGGTTGGCTGACTTTTTAGAGACAGAGTCTTGCTCTGTGGCCCAGGCTGGAGTGCAATGGCTTGGTCTCAGCTTACTGCAGCCTCAACCTCCTAGGCTCAAGCAATCCTCCCACCTCAGCCTCCCAAAGTGCTGGGATTACAGGTAGGAGCTACCATGCCTGGCCTCATTTTATATAATGTTAAAATAAGCCAAAGTCACAATAGCCAAAAGGTGGGAGAAACTCAAGTGTCCATCTACAGATGAATGGATAAATGAATGCAGCCTGTCCCACAATGGACTATTACACAGCCTTAAAAAGGAAGGAGGTTCTGAGCTCTGCTGCCACATCGGTGAACCTGGAGGACATGATGCTGAGTGAAATAAGCCAGGCACACAAAGTCAAGTCCTGCATGATTCTATTCATATAAGATCCCCAGCAGTCACATTCACAGACACAGAGAAGTAGAAGGTGGTTGCCGGGGGCTGGAGGAGGGAGAATGGGGAGTTAGTGTTTAATGGGTGCAGAATTTCAGTTTGGGACAATGAAAAACATTCTGGAGATGAACAGTGGTGAGTGTTGCACAGCAATATGATTGTATCTCATGCCAATGAACTCTATACTTTAAAATGGTTATGGTGGTAAATTTTATTGTTTTGTTTTGTTTTGTTTTGTTTTGTTTTGTTTGAGATGGAGTCTCACTTTTTCGCCCAGGCTCGAATGCAGTGGTGCGATCTCGGCTCACTGCTGCCTCCACCTCCCAGGTTCAACCGATTCTCCTGCCTCAGCCTCCTGAGTAGCTGGGACTACAGGTGTGTGCAGCCACACCCGGCTATTTTTTTGTATTTTTAGTAGAGACAGGGTTTCACCATGTTGGCCAGGATTGTCTGGATCTCCTGACCTCGTGATCCGCCCGCCTCGGCCTCCCAAAGTGCTGGGATTACAGGCGTGAGCCACCACGCCCAGCAATTTTATTGTTATATGTATTTCACCACAATAAAAATAGATATATAAAATAAAGGTATGAAATCAACACTGGGAATGGGTAAAGTTTTTTTCTGTTAAAAGACCTTGGGTGGTCTCAGGCCAAGACAACCGGAACCCTCAGACTCATCCTTCCTCCGAGGAGTCCCCTCCGGGGACTACAGAGAAGACTGCTCTCCCGGCAGCGTCATCTCGGCTGACCTCGCTGGAAAGGCAGCTCTCTGTGGCCAGGTCAAGAGGGCTGGGGAGACCAGGAATCATCCACCCATGATGTTCCTAAAACCTGCCTGCGCATGGCAGCCACCGGGACGGCCTGTCAAAATGAAGATGCCTGGGCCCTGCCCCGGATACTGAGTCACAGTCTCTAAGGGTAAGGAGGCCTGGAATCTACACTTTTAACAAGCTCCCCAGGCACCTCTGAATACCCAACCTGCTAGGGTATCAGGCCGGGCAGCGCAGAGGCCTGGAGGAGCCCAGGTATACAATCCATAGAGCCGACTTCACTACTGCCTGCCACTGCCTGCTGTGTGACTGTGAGCATGTCATTCAGCCTCTCTGGGTCTCAGTTTCAGACCTATGGGTTTGGCACAAAAGCGCTTATGTTGGGAAGGGCTTGTTTTGAGGGTTAGCAATAAGATACATAAAGTGCCTGGTGCATAACAGGTGCTGAATAAATGGTGGCTGCAGTTAGGATTCGAGAGCTGGGAGAGACCCACCCAGCTGGCACTGGCTGAGAGGTGAGCAAGCCGCTCCCGCACAGAGGGCTCCATCCCAAGTGCACATGTGTTTCCTGCAGGGGGAGCACCTTTAACCAGGGACGTGGATGTGGCTTGTCACTTTAGCTCTGAAAAATGGGACAGAAGTTGTTGAGGGGAAATCCCTTCTCACAGAAAGCAGAATGGTGCTTTGGGAACCCCCCCTCCTTTTCCCTCTGCCACCCCCAATCTAGAGCTGACTGCACCTCACTCTTATCATCCAAAAGCCTTGCCCCTGACCGCAGGCTAGCCCAGGAAGAGAAGTAAGGCTCACCTGCCAAATCTTGCTGTGTGGCTTTGAGAAAACCACATAACCTCTCTGAGCCTGAGGTCCTTATCTCTCACTAGGGGGAGGAGGGTGACACCCATTCATTCAGGGCATACTGACTGTGATAGACACGTCCTCATCCTCACAGGCCGACAGTCCAGTGGGAAGATCAGGCTTTAGTGAAACCACTGCAAATATCTCATTGCAAAACAAAATAGCTGCCTTAGAAAGTTGTGATCAGGTGGTTTTTCCGACTTTTTTTTTTTTTTTAGCAGCAGAACCCTTCATTCAAATGAAGCCTTACCCAGGACTGGGTCATGGAAAATAGCTGAAAGCAAAGTTGCTCAGAGGCTCTGTGGCTGTCACCAGAGAGCCCGACGGCTTCAAGGAACACAGCTGGAAACCAGAGCTTGATGTCTGGGAGGGAGGGGTGAGGAAAGGCCCACAGTGGCACAGCAGAGTCCTGGCACATTGTGGGCACTGGAGAAGCCATCCCTGCCTGAGCTCGTCATCTCTCTCTCTCTCTCTCACCATGTCAAATGGTAGTGGGTGGGTACAGGGCCCAAACTCGGTCCCCAGACCCCCGAGTGTCTCTGGTGCCAGAGACCCCACAATGCCTAGAAGCTTCCAACCACCCTGGCCCAGGGTGCCTAGGGGCTGAGAGTCTGGGGGTCCCTGGAGGCGGGAGACGCTGAGTCTAGGCAGGCTCGTGCTGGAAACCAGCTCACTGCAGCGGACCACTATCTGATGGAGCGCTTCCTTCATCAGTGCTAATATCCATGTAGCGAAACAATGAAAGGGTTTCCTATCAGTTCCAAATAGGACGTGAAAAACTCTCAGTGCTAAGAGTAGAGGATGCTAGAATAGGGCAATGGGAAACGCCTGAGTCACCGGAGGGCCTCTTTGATTCCGACAGCCCAATCACTGAAAAGGAAAAAGAGAGAGAGAGTGGTTCATTAATGATCCGAGGGAGGGGACAGGAAAGACAGGCCCTTCACAGGGGACCTCCCCAGAGAGCTGAGAGCGGGAGAAGCCCAGCAGTGGGGACACTACCCAGAGAAAGAAACAGAGCTGAGGCTCCACCCGTGCACCCGCCCCACCCAGCCACCCAGCACGTCCACGAGCCACGCGCCAAGGGCAGTTCTGGTTTCCACAGATAAGCATTTAAGGAAGAATGTTCAGGAGTCCTGCTGTATTCTTCACCAGACTTGTCTCAGAGCAGCTGCTCACCCAGGAGCTCCATGGCCACAGGGATGCCCAGGACAGGGACGACTGCTTGCCCACTGCCGTGCTCTGGGGCTCTGGGCAGTCCCTCGGCCTCACCCACTGCTCAGATTTTCTGCAGGAAAAATGGGAGAGCCACCCTTTCAAAGAGTGACCCGGGCCCGGTTCCTCCTCAAAGCCTTTCGGAATGAATCTCCCAGTTCCCCACTGACTGGACATAGAACCTCTGCTCTTTCCTTCTCTAAGGCTGTGCTAGTCCATTATTCATTAAAAGACAAAATGAGGCCGGGTGCAGTGGATCACGCCTGTAATCCCAGCACTTTGGGAGGCCAAGGCGGGCGGATCATGAGGTCAGGAGATCGAGAACATCCTGGCTAACACGGTGAAACCCCATCTCTACTAAAAATACAAAAACAAAATTAGCCGGCTGTGGTGGCGGGTGCCTGTAGTCCCAGCTACTCAGGAGGCTGAGGCAGGAGAATGGCGTGAACCCGGGAGGTGGAGCTTGCAGTGAGCCGAGATCGTGCCACTGCACTCCAGCCTGGGCGACAGAGAGAGACTCTGTCTCAAAAAAAAAAAGACAAAATAATTGTCTTTTAATGACTTTAAAAGACATTGAGGTGGGTGTGGGGCTCATGCCTGTAATCCCAGCAATTTGGGACGCCGAGGTGGGAGGATCACTTGAGCCCAGGAGTTTCAGACCAGCCCAGGCAACGTAGCAAGACCCCATCTCTACAAAAATGTTTAAAACCTAACCAGGAATGGCAGTGCATGCCTGTAGTCCCAGCTACTCAGGAGGCTGAGGTGGGAGGATTGCTTTAGCCCAGGAGGTTGAGGCTGCAGTGAGCTATGATAGCACCACTGCACTCCAATCGGAGTGGCAGAGTGAGACCCCAACTCAAAATAAAATTAAAAGACAAGAGGCCAGGCGCAGTGGCTCATGCCTGTAATCCCAGCACTTTAGGAGACTGAGGTGAGCAGATCGTGAGGTCAGTAGTTCAAGACCCGCCTGGCCAACATGGTGAAACCCCATCTCTACTAAAAATACAAAAATTAGCTGGGCATGGAGGCGCATACCTGTAATCCCAGCTACTCAGGAGGCTGAGGCAGGAGAATTGCTTGAACCGGGAGGCAGAGGTTTCAGTGAGCCAAGATCATGCCACTGCATTCCAGCCTGGGTGACAGAGCAAGACTCCATCTCAAAAAAAATTAAAAGACAAAATGTGGACACACACATGGCCCCAGCAAGCAAGATTGATTACTAACTTCGTGGTGGCGTGCACATGCACACGATGTTCCACAAGCTCATCATCTATTCGAGTCGAGAGTATTCAGTTATCAGCCTCAGAAATCCAGAAGGAACCTCACATCCCAGGAGCCTCTGGCATTTCAGGGCCTTTCACTCCAAGGAGCCGCCTCCACCGGGCCTTCCCCAGCAGGATGTATATGGCCCTGTCTGTGTGCTAGGAGGAGAAGGGCAGGCCCGTGTGCTGTCTGGTGCTAGGTGTGAGACCACAGCCTTTCTGGAAAGGCTTTGTACTGTGCTGCTGGTGTGCAGACCCCGTGCGTGGTAGGGGCTTCAAGAATACGCATCAAATGAACCCGAACCCAAGGACGCTTGCTCACCTGTGTCATCTGGGGGTCTCCTTCCACAGGAAGCACATCTGGGCAGAGTGAAGGCTCCCAGGGCTCAGGTCCAGAAAGAGCTGGAGGCTCCTGAGAGCAAGGGGCCCTACTCGGCCATGAGCCCAGAACAATGCGAGCTTCACACACCGCAGGTGTGTGCGTGTGGGAGCCTCTTCCTGAAGCCTTGGGGTCAGGGGCCGGGGCCCAGCAGGCTGGGTTTATTGTCCATTGTCTCAGGCCGGGACAGGAAGCACTTTCTGTTCCCAATTGCTCGGGTGGATTAATTTACAGTGGGGAGCTCAGAGTCGCCCACGGCACCTGTTTTCCCCTCTGAGGGGCCAGCTTCCAGCTTGGAGGGTGTTTCAGGAGGGGTCTCCTCTGCAGAGACGTGGCCTCCTCCAGAGACCCTTGGCCACAGCCCCTGCCCGCTCCGTGCTGGGCCGAGGCCAAGGCCCTGGCAGCCCTGCCTGCTTGCCCGGGTCACGCTGCCCACCCACGGGGAAAGCTGAGCCCTGTGGAGTGCACACCATGCTGTCAGCAGTGAGCCATGGTGAGGCAGCCTCAGCAATGTGTCTTCTCTTTGGTTGGGAATCCGCTCTCTCTTCCAGGTTCAGGGGCAGGTGATGTATGCTTGTTTTCATTTGGTGAAGATCGTGAGTCCCATTTTACAGATAAGGACGCTGAGGCTCAGCAAGGTTGACTACACAGGTCGCGAATGAAGTGGTGGGATGCAAACCCGAGTCTGCTCCAGGTCCCAGAGCTCTCAACCTCAAATGTCTCAGGAGCCAACGAAAGCTTGTGACTGAGTGTCACCAGCTGGTGTACAAAGGGGGAGTGGCAGGAGGTGGAGGAGAACCCAGGGGTGCAGGCAGGGGGGACCCTGTGCCATCTCCAAGGGCAGCACTGCTCTACCCAGCCTGCCATGCCTTGAAGTAAGGTGGACCTTGTGTGGCCACATTTTTCCTTGTTAGTAACTCAGAAGATACATTTCTAGACACGGGGTAGGTCACAAAAGCCTGTCTGCAGGCGGCACATTGCTTTCCACCTCTGCTCTGTGCCACCATGCCAACACCAACAGTGAGCACCTGCTATATGCAGGTGCTGCCCGGGCACCTCCACAACGGGGACCCATCCTGTGTCTTCAGGCCCCCCCAGGCAGCAGGCACTGTGCTTCCTGTGGACACACAGGGGACTGAGGCTCAAAAGAGCAGGCTCCTGACCCTGGGCACCAGGCTGGTCTCGGCTTGCTCACTCCACCCCTGCATCCCTGCATCGGTTTTTCATCACCACTAATGCAGGAGGCTGAGGAAGAATTCTGGAGTCTGGTGGAGGATGGGGAAGCTGACCCTATTTCTATAGGTACCTCCCTCATTTTTGTAGGATGGCTCCAAGTCAGCCACCGAGACTGCCCCCTCTGCACTAACCATTAGCCAGCACTACCAGGATTGGCCAGCTTGCTCTGTGCCACTTGTTTTATTTATTTGTTTGCTGGAGACAGGGTCTCGCTCTGTCACCCAGGCTGGAGTGCAGAGGTGCAATCATAGCTCACTGCAGCTTCCACCTCCTGGGCTCAAGTGACCCTCCCACCTCAGCCTCCTGAGTAGCTGGGACTATAGGTGGGCGCCACCACATCCAGCTTTTTTTTTTTATTTTTTGCAGAGACAGGGTCTCGCCATGTTGCCCAGGCTAGTCTTGAACTTCTGGCCTCAAGCCATCCTCCTGCCTCAGCCCCCCAAAGTGCTGGGATTACAGATGTGAGCCACTGCACCTGGCCTATGCCACTTGTGTACTCCACCAAAATAAGCTTGATTCCCTGACTTCGGTGGCTTAAGATGGCTGAGCTCTCACCCTCTCTGCCCAGGCCCCTGCCCACCTGCCCTCTGCCCCAACAGCCACCTCTGCTAGGCTGCTTCCTCCTACTCAGGCAGGGTGGATGGTTCATTGTGTGGCCCCGGATCCAGGTTCCCCCACTGCCTCCCTGAGTGACAGGGCTGCCCTTTGTGGAGGGGGAGATTAGAGGCGGGCTGGAGGCTGCGCAGCCCTCCCTGGATGACAGGAGACATCAGCCCCGCACACCGCAAGGGCCTGGAGCGAGGAAAGCCTTGACAGGCCTGGAGGGGATCCAAGAGGGGAGCCAAGGAGGGGGCAGGCTCCTCACACACAAAGGCCGGGCCTGTCTTCACACCTGCGGGGATGAACAGAGCCCAGGGCCGGGAGAGGTGGGGGCTGTGGGGGGATGAATAATTCGCTCTGAAAGAAGCATGTCACAGGGAGATAGCTCAGCCAGACACTTCAAATAAAGGCAAGCAGCCGTGGTGACAGGGGACATTCTTTGCCACCGATGCACCGCTGGGACCTAAGAGCTGAGATGTTGTGAAAGAAAGGCGCCTTGAACCCTTCATAGTTATTTTTATTTTAAAAAAAGAGAGAGAGAGAGGGAAAATAACACCACAGAAGCAAGGATGGGCCTCGCAACGCGGAGAAAGGCCAGATAATGAGTTCTGGCACCTTAATTTCACTTTTGTCAGAAAGAACGGTGCTTCCTGGGCACACCTGAAGAACCAGGTCTGCTCATTCTTCCTGTCTCGGCATCTCTGGCCACCCTGTTCCCTGACCCAGGGCACCTCCACCCCACCACCCCTCCCTCCACAGACTCCTCCCCAGGGTTCCAGAGCCAGCACCGAAGGCCTCTCCTGCCATGAGGCCCACCCCAGCAAACACCTGGGTTCATGCCCCTCCTCCCAGGCGACCTCACTCAGTCCTCAGGCGGTGACCTCACCTTTTGACATACTTCTCCCCACCACTCAGCCAAGCCCTCAGGAGCGGGCAATCCCATCCCGTTCTGTCCCACACCCCTCAGTAGAGCACACTGTCCTGTACACAGCGGCCACGCACTACATGTCATTGATGAGAACAATCACAGTGGCTTCTTTTTTCTTGGGAAAATAAGACAATGAAGCTACAAATACTAGTATTCTCATGGAAAAAAATGATGCCCTCAGTGTCCACTCACAGAGGAATACCTAAATAAGTTAAGACTGAACCCAGCATGGGGCCATCTGGAGCCACACAAAAGAATGAGGCTGATCTAGATATGTTCATGTGTGTGGACATCACGGACTTCAGTGGGGACAGCTGCAGGATGGCACATATATACGCATATACACAAACATGGATATATATATATATATATAGCACAGAAAAAGGTCTGGAGGATTCCCCCAAAACCATGAACCGTGGCTACCTCTGCAGTGTCAGGATTTAGTGAGACAAGGGGAGGTGAGGGAACTGCACTTATTATACATACTTCGGTATTATTTTAACTTTTTACATTGAGTACGTATTGCTTTTGTAATTGAAGAATATATATATATATATATATTCTTGGCTGGCTGTGGTGGATCACACCTGTAATCTCAGTGCTTTGGGAGGCTGAGCAAGAGGATTGCTTGAGGCCGGGTGCGGTGGCTCATGCCTGTAATCCCAACACTTTGGGAGGCCGAGGCAGGTGAATCACCTGAGGTCAGGAGTTCGAGACCAGCCTGGCCAACATGGTAAAATCCTGTCTCTACTAAAAATACAAAAATAGCTGGGCATGGTGGCAGTCGCCTGTAATCCCAGCTACTCGAGAGTCTGAGGCAAGACTCAACCCTGGAGGCGGAAGTTGCAGTGAGCCGAGATCATGCCATTGGACTCCAGCCTGGGCAACAAGAGCGAAACTCCATCTCAAAAAAAAGAGGATTGCTTAAGCCCAGGAGTTCAAGGCTGCAGTGAGCTATGATAGCACCACTGCCCTCCAGCCTGAGCTACAGAGCAAGTCTTTCTCTCTCTGCATATATATATGTGTGTGTGTGTTGCATATATGTATATATATATGAGAGAGAGAGTTGCATATATAGGTTTAGTTCTTGCTAAACCACACCAATTAAGAATTAAGAATACATACATAGATGTGTGTATATATGTATATGTTGTGTATATCTATTATATATCTACATCTCTATCTCTCTCTATAGATAGGTAGATAGATAGATAGATAGATAGATAGATAGATAGATAGATAGATAGATAGGTGTGGTTTAGCAAGAACTAAACCTTTTCCTAAGCTGGGACTCCGAGGCATGGCTTTGGTCCAGGAGGAAAGAAGCAGCATTGGTGAACCCAACTCAAGTGCTCAAGGACAAGAGGGGAAGGCTTGGCCCAGGCCTCAGCTACCATCCTGCTTTCCAAGGACAGCAAAAGTTCTGCCTGGATTCCTCCAAGCTGGCTTCTGCTTGTGCCTCATTGGCCAGAACAGGGTCACATGACCAACCTAGCTGCAAGGGAGGCTGGGAAGCAAGCAGGTTGTCCTGCCAGGCTTAGACCAGGCTGACTCTGACCCAAAGGACCTCCCACCTGCTTAAATTTCCTCTTGCTTTGGGTCTACTGCCAGTTTTTCTCTTCTCTTGAAACAAGAGAACTCTCTCCAAAGGCAAACCCCGTTTCTGTTCATGGAAACTCTCTCCAGCTACACCCTGGGAACGAGTTTCTGTTGGCATTATTCAGGAATATTTCTCTGTGTGTGTGTGTGTGTGTGTGTGTGTGTGTGTGTGTGTGTGTGTGTGTGTGTGTGGTTTAATTTCCTCTGGACACATCAAAATTCTCTGCATTTCATTATCACCACCTGCCACCAGGAGGGGACAGGCTGCCTGAGAATGGAGCCAACAGGAAAGAATTCAGAAGGAAGCCCAGATCTGAGAAACATGGAGTCCTGCTGACCCAATGAGCCCCTAAGTCCGCCATGCCTGCAACTACCCCTGATTTTCTTTTTTTTTTTTTTTTTTTGAGACAGAGTCTCGCTCTGTCGCCCAAGCTGGAGTGCAGTGACGCGATCTCTGCTCACTGCAAGCTCTGCCTCCCGGGTTCATGCCATTCTCCTGCCTCAGCCTCCCAAGTAGCTGGGACTACAAGTGCCCGCCACCACGCCTGGTTAATTTTTTTATTTTATTAGAGACGGGGTTTCTTCATGTTAGCCAGGATGGTCTCGATCTCCTGACCTCGTGATCCGCCCGCCTTGGCCTCCCAAAGTGCTGGGATTACAGACATTAGCCACCGCGCCCAGCCAACTACCCCTGACTTTCTAAATGAAAGAACCAATAAATTATTTTTCCCTCTTTATGTCAGTTTGGGTTGAGTCAGTCTCTTAAAACCAAAAAAAAAAAAAAAAATCCTGAGTCCTACTGTAGAAATTATCTTTGAGCTGAGTTTATTTAATATGTACCTTGAAACAGGGTAGTTTTATCCTGGTGGGCAGGTGTATGTGGTGGCTTCTGTATATATCTATATAAAACCCAGGTGTTCCTCGGGGTCGCCCTGACTTTGGAAGCTCAATGTGGGGCCATGCCACCGAGCCTTCATCCTGTGGCCTGTCCAGGGCTCTCTCCAAGATTTCTCCTGGTGCCCTGGTGGCTGCTCTTCTCCTGATCACCTGTGACTCCGTGTGGACCCACGTTCTCACTCATCTGCCACGTCCTTCATCTCTGCACCAGCCTGAAGGTAGAACTGCACTGCTTCTCCTTAATCCACCCTGTGCTCCCAAGATGGCTCACCTAAGACACCTGAGTGGATTTTACTGATGATTTGGGGCACTTTAATGATAGCAGTGTAAACCTTCATCAAGTAGGAACACCCTAACTCACAGAGATTTATAGAAGTGTAAACCAGAGAGTATCTGGGGTAGGCCTCAATCAATTTAGAAGTTTATTTTGCCAGGGTTAAGGATGTGTGCCTAAGAGACAAGTCTATGCCTTTTTCCAAAGATGATTCTGAGCACTCCAATATTTAAAAAGGAAAAGCCAGCTGGAGGGGACAGAGGGAAGGTGTGGTCTCATTACTGAATCCAAATGTTGCAAGAGAAAAGAAGCAGGTAGGGGCACATAGTCACTAATGAACTGGCCTGGTGCTCACTATAAGATAAGGTGAATGGAGAGGAGCTACCTGTGGAGATCTTTAACTTTTTATCTGTCACTATCTGCTTAGGAACAAAAGGAAAGGCAGCTTCTTGCATAACTCAGCTTTCAGCTTAATTTTTTTTCTTTTGGCAGAGTGAATTGGTGTTCTAAGTTTTTATTATCCCTTCACAAAAGCAATTAGGAGCCCAGCAATAACCCCATCACCAAGATTCGTTTGTGGCTCCCTTTTCCGTGGCCTGGCGCCCCCTTCCTCCCACCCCTCCCCCTCTCTTCAGCTCTCTGCCCTCCCAAATCACAGCTTCTTTCTTTTTTCTTTCTTACTTTTTTTTTTTTTAAGACAGAGTCTTACTCTGTTGCCCAGGCTGGAGTTCAGTGGCGCAATCTCAGCTCACTGCAACCTCCGCCTCCCGGGCTCAAGCAATACTCCTGCCTCAGCGTCCTGAGCAGTTGGGATTACAGGCACGCACCACCACGCCTGGCTAATTTTTGTATTTTTTAGTAGAGATGGGGTTTTGCCCTGTTGCCCAGGCTGGTCTCGAACTCCTGGGCTCAAGCGATCCGCCTGCTTCAGCCTCCCAAGCAGCTGGGATTACAGGCGTGAGCCACCGGGCCCGGCCATCAAATCATAGCTTATTTCTTCATATGACAGTTAGCTCTGTTTTCCCGTCTCCTTCCAAACCACAACTCATCCCCTTCCAGCATACTTCAAGAAGGTGTTTTGTTGAGTAATGGGGGTTCCCTCCCTAAGAGGAATCCTGGCTCTGGCCATTTGGGCTTTACTTGTGTCTCCGGACTCTTGCATTCTCTCTTAAGCACAGGGATTACTAGATGTGTGGGGATCAACTGTAAAGAACATGGTTTCTGAAACAGCAAATCAAACCAATTTGATTGTGCAGGAGAAATAGAAGCCTGTCGACGTCTAATCTGAAAGAACAGCTATATTTACATACCAAGGCAGATTGCAGGTCAAAGTGTCATCAATTTGATGTTGATCAAATCTTGGGAAATTTCTGATGTGGTTTCTGGTGACACAGAGTGGCGGCAACATAGCCTGTGTGCAGGAGGCTTCTCACCTCCCCTAGGAAGAGTTGAGATATTCACAGCAACCCACAAGCAGCCTCCTCCACCAGCATGAATGGTGGCAAGGAGCATGGAGGCACCGAGCCTTGAAGAAAGAGGCTGGGAGTGAGGACCGTCTTAGAAAAAGGGGCTGACCTTCTTTGCCCGAGTTGTAGAGCTGTGGGGAACTCTGGGAACATCCAGATGCCTTCCGGGAAAGGGAGATCTCCCCATCTCTGCATCCCACCCACACTCCCCACCTTAGCCACTCCCCGCCAAACCTCCAGCCCCAGCTGCAGTGCATGGTGGTGTTATTTCCCAACAAGGCAACAGCCTCCTCACTTGGTTTTCCTGACTCCAGTCTCTCCCCAACCCATCCCCGCTTCAGATGGCAGCAATTTTTCTAAAGCACAAATCTGATGCTGCTTAAAATTCACAAATAAGGCAAAGTCCACAGACGCTGAGACAGGATGCAAGGTCCTTCTTGGCCCACCCACCAACTGTTCTTGCCTCCTCTGCCTGGAAACGCCCACCTTGAAGGTTGCAGTGGCCTCAGCATCCCTGTGGCTCTTCCGCCTGGGCCATTGTGGAGCCAAAGTCACGCCAAAAAAGAGCAGCCTGAAAGAGGCCCCTGCAGAGTGGGTGCTTTTTGAATGTCATCCGTTATTCAAGTTCTCCACCCTGGTTTCATCCTCCCCCAATCCGAGACCCTTTACCCCAACGTTGTCCCTGTCATTTTATTACTAGTCTCCATCCACCAGAAATGTGCCTTGGCACCTGCCTTCCATCGCCTTCGGGCACCTCATCTCATGCTGGACAGAGACCTTCCTGATCACCTACCCTAGCTGCACCTTGCCATCACTTGGGGAAACTAGAAAGTGGTTCTGATCTCCTCCATCTGGGGAGGGGCATTTGGAAACTCTCTGAGATTCCAGGGTGGAGACAGGGTGGAAACCCCTGGTGGGAGAACAGGGTGTGCTTGGGGCGTCACTAGCTGGTGGGATTCTTCAGGCCGCAGCATGCAGTTCGCAGTCTACACTTGCAGAAAAAAAACATCTGCCTGGATGGTTTCCTATTTATAGAGGACAGGGATATTCACATGGATGGATAGAGTGCATGAGACCCCTTGCTACATCCTTTTTCCCTGCACTTCCTCCCTTCCACCCTTCCAGCCCTGTGGGATCATGGTGGGGAAGGGGTCAGCCTCGGAAGATGCCCTTGGAGAAAGGCCTGGGAGATGCCGTGTGTGACCCGAAAGAGGTCAGGGGACATTTTACCTAAGACTTGCTTCATTGTTAAGTTTTTTTCTTAAAGGTGTTGATCTACGCAGTGTAAACACTTGCAAGCTCCCATCATTGGTCACAAGGCTGTTTGTCTTGTAGTCATTGTTTATGGTTCTAGAAGGCTCTCTCCCCGTGGAGGGGAAGGGCCCTGGGACAGAGATCACAGGAGTTCTTAGGGGGCACTCGCTAGTAGCCTCCTTCCCTCTGCTGATGGGGCCTTCCTCCCAGGGGATCTTTGGGCCTTAATGCCGTGCCTTTGAGGCCTGGCCCAGAGCCCCTCAAAGAGCCAGGCGAGGAGAGCTGACCCAAGTGGAGTCAGGCTGAATTTTCCTTCTCAAGAGAAGCACATCCCAGCCACTGTCCTTTCAAAGGCCATCAGGCCGGCCGAAGACGAGGATGTAGCAGACTGGCTCACAGCAGTACCCACTGGGGCGGAGCTCCAGCCTGCAGCTGTGCCAGGGCCGGGCATCTCTTCCCTGAGTGGTGGCTGCCCCCATGAGGGCAAAGACTGCACTGGCTCTTCCTGTGCAGGCGAGAGCGGGCTGGGAGCAGGGACACCACGTGGAGGCAGCCCTGGTGGCAACGGGGCTCAGGGGAAGTTTCTGGGCACAAGGAAGCCTGGGGATGGGGGACTTAGGAGGGAAGCCCCAGCCAGGCTGCTGTGCAAGGGGGAGGCCCGTGGGGACCCTCTCCAGGAGTACAAGGAGGGTCAAGGGAGGGGCCGAGTCAGCTCTGTGGAAAGTTTCTTGTTTTTGTTGCTTGCTATTCGTTTTTCTCTTTTTGTTTTACCTTTATTATAAAAAACATCAAACTTTTATGAAAGTAAACAGAATAATATACTGACCCCATATACCCCTGGGTTCAACAATTATGGACATGAGCCAGGGTCACTTCGTCTATTACTGCTGCACATTTGCCGCCCCCGTATCATTCTACAGCAAACTGTATATATCATAACATTTCATTTGTAAGTCTTTTGGATGTTTATCTAAAAGAAAACAGAAACTTTTTAAACATAACCATAATACCATTATGACACCTTAGAAAATTAGTGCCATCTCCTTGACAGTCTCAGAAATCTAGTGTAATGGGTTAAGTTGTGTCCCCACCCCCCAACAGAAAGCTATGCTGCAGTCCCACTCCCCGGACCTCAGAATGTGACCTTATTTGGAGAAAGGGTCCATACAGAGGTAACCAAGCTTAAATGAGGTCATTAGGGTGGGCCCTGATGCAACATGATTAGTGTCCTTATCAAAAAGGGAAATTTAGACAGAAACAGACACGCACAGAGGGAAGACTAGCAAAGTGACACAGGGAGAACGCCACATGAGAAACGATGCTGCCACACGCTAGGGAAAGTCTGTGGCCACCAGAAGCTGGGGGAGGCAAGGAGGGACCTTCCCAAGCGCCTTTCCAGGAAGCGTGGCCCTGCCAACAGCTGATATCTAACTTCTAGCCCCAGAATGGGGAGAAAATAAGTTTTTGTTATTCTAAGAAACCACTCAGTTTATGGTACTTTGCCCTAGCTAACTAACCTGGTCAGTATTCAAATTTCCAATTATCTCACAAGTGTCACTTTTTTTGGAATCATGATTCAATGAAGGACCCCTGCTGCAACTGGTTGATGTGTCTTAAGACTGTTTTAATCTCCTTCCTTCCTTTCTTTCATTCTTTTTTTTTTTTTTTTTTTTGAGACAAAGTCTCACTCTGTCACCCAGGCTGGAGTGCAATGATGTGATCTCGGCTCACTGCAACCTCCACCTCCCAGGTTCAAGTGATTCTCATGCCTCAGCCTCCCCAGTAGCTGAGATAACAGGCACAGTTTTGCCATGTTGCCCAGGCCTGTCTCGGCCTCACAAGTGATGGGATTACAGGCATGAGCCACTGTGCCCAGTCTCCTTCCTTTCTTTCAATGTATTTGTTGAAGAAAACCATGTTGTTCATCCCCTAGAGTTTATCCTGATGTGCTTTTGCCGTTTGCACCATGATGGCATCATCTAACACCTCACGACTCAGGGTGAGTAGTCTGTGGGCCAGCAGCACGGCCTCCCCGGGGAGCGTGCTAGCAATGCAGAATGTCTCAAGCCCCACCCAGACCTGCTGTACCAGACTTTTCACCCGGCAAGCCCGCCAGGGACTCATGAACACTCGGAAGCCTGAGAGTCACCGGGCCGCACATTCTTTCTCCTTTGCATTTCCTGAATCGGTAGTTGGATCTATAGATGCTTGATTGGATTCAGATCTGATTTTTTTTTGGCAAGATCCTCTCTAGGTGGCAATCATTCTTTCATCAGGAGGCATATCATGGCTGCCTGTGCCTCTTTTATAATATTAGCAGCAATCGGCTGGGCACCATGGCTCACGCCTACAATCCCAGCACTTTGGGAGGCCGAGGCAGGGGATCACCTGAGGTCAGGAGTTCAAGAGCAGCCTGGCCAGCATGGCGAAACCCCAGGTCTACTAAAAATTCAAACAATTAGCCGGGTATGGTTGTGCATGCCTGTAATCTCAGCTACTCAGGAGGCCGAGGCAGTGAGAATCACTTGAATCTGGGAGGCAGAGGTTGCAGTGAGCCGAGATTGCGCCACTGTACTCCAGCCTGGGCAACAGAGCGAGACTCCATCTCAAAAAAAAGAAAAAAAAAAAAGAATTACCTGAGACTGGGTGATTTATTAAGAAAAGGATTTTGCCGGGCATGTAATCCCACACCTGTAATCCCAGCACTTTGGGAGGCTGAGCCGGGTGGTCACCTGAAGTCAGGAGTTCAAGACCAGCCTGGCCAACGTGGTGAAACCTTGTCTCTACTAAAAATACAAAAATCAGCTGGGCGTGGTGGCGAGTGCCTATATCCCAGCTACTCGGGAGGCTGAGGCAGGAGAATCACTTGAACCTGGCGGGTGGAGGTTGCGTGAGTCAAGACCACACCACTGCACTCCAGCCTGGGCGACAGAGTGAAACTCTGTCTAAAAAAAAAAGGAAGGGAAAGGAAAGGAAGGGAAAGGAAAGGAAAGGAGAAAGGAAAGGAAAGGAAAGGAAAGGAAAGGAAAGGAAAGGAAAGGAAAGGAAGGAAAGAAAGAAAAGAAAAGGGTTTTAAACTGGCTCACAATTCTGTACAAGAAGCATGGTGCCAACATCTGCTTGGCTTCTGGGGAGACCTCAGGATCCTTCTAGTCATAGTGGAAGGAGAAGGGAAGCAGGCGTGTCACACAGCAAGAGAGAGAGCGAGAGCAAGAGAGAGAGAGAGATAGAGAAAGAGAGAGAATGGCGGAGGAGGTGCTACACACTGTTAAACAACCAGATCACGCAAAAACTCAGGGCAAGAGCTCACTTGTTATGAAGGGGATGGCCCAAGCCATTCATGAGGGATCCAGCCTCATGATTCAGACACCTCCCTCCAGGCTCCACCTCCAACATTGGGAATTACATTGCAACGTGAGATTTGGGCAGGGATAGACATCTAACCTATATGACCTGCATACTATCCTTGCTTTCTAGTGCTACTAGATGTCCTCATCTTGCTCCTCTTCTGCCCCAGACCTGGAATCAGCCATTTGTCTGCCAACCCCTGGTTTCTTTCAGTGGGGAATGGTGTTTAGAGAACACAATTAGAACATAAGGGTGCTTACCTTTGGCCTTGTTTTCAGGCCTCTCATTGAACAGCCAGGAAAAAATACACGTAACATCTTAGCACAAAATACACAAGTTCAGCCAGGCACAGTGGCTCACGCCTGTAATCCCAGCACTTTGGGAGGCCGAGGCATGTGGATCACCTGAGGTCAGGAGTTCGAGACCAGCCTGGCCAACGTGGCGAAACCCCGTCTCTACTAAAAATACAAAAATTAGCTAGGTGTGATGGCAACGCCTGTAGTCCCAGCTACTCGGGAGGCTGAGACAGGAGAATTGCTTGACCCCAAGAGGCGGAGGCCTCAGTGAGCCGAGATTGTGCCACTGCACTCCAGCCTGGGTGACAGAGCAAGACTCCGTCTCAAAAAAAAAAAAACAAGACAATCACATTCACTACCCTGGGATTTTTAATTTAACCTTTTGCATCTCACGTGGTGTATCTGCTTTCTCTCATGCCACAAACCTAGGTTCACAGTGACATCAGGAGTGCTCGAGTTGGAATAGCCCAGATCTGCTCATTTGCCTCCCCCGGCTTGGCGAGCTCAGACCTGTGAGCTGTCGTAGGGGGTGACAGAGAAGCTGCACGAAAGAAACTCCAGGGCTTCCTGGAGTGCCTGAGGAGGAAGCCCTGCACACCGGCTGGGGCTCTGCAGGGGGCCTCAGGGCCAACAGAGCCAGCTGAGTTGAGGTGAAGCAACGTGAAGTGTCACCATGGGGAATGACAGGAGGGAGTCCCACCTCGGGATTGAGTAGGAGACCACGTGAGGAGTGAAGAAGGGCCTGAGGGGTGAGACATCTCTGGCCTGTGAAAGGGACTGAGGGTGGGGCCCTTCACACTGGAGAGGGGCCATAACTACTTCCATTTGTGGGGCCCACCAGAATATTAAAAAAAAAAAAATTTTTTTTGAGACAAAGTTTTGCTCTCGTTGCCCAGGCTGGAGTGCAGTGGCGCGATCTCAGCTCACTGCAACCTCCACCTCCTGGGTTCAAGTGATTCTCCTGCCTCAGCCTCCCAAGTAGCTGGGACTACAGGTGCCTGCCACTGCATCTGGTTAATTTTTGTATTTTTAGTAGAGATGGGGTTTCACCAGGTTGGCCAGGCTGGTCTCGAACTCCTAACATCAGGTGATCTGCCCGCCTTGGCCTCCCAAAGTACTGGGATTACAGGCATGAGCCACCACCATGCCCAGCAGAATATTTAAAAATTTCTAAATCCCAAATTACAGGATGTTTTAAGTGTTTCTGTTTAACACCTTAAAGCTGTTATGAGGAAAAAAAAAATATTGCAATGTAATTATACTCACCCAGATCATTAGAAGATCTATAAACATGTGTATATATTAATCTGGAGTCACTATAAGGAGTGAGAACAGTAGTGAAGCATGAATTTACGCTGAATGAGAAATGCCCTTCTTTCAGCTCTGTTAGCGAATCTCTTTGATTGTATGTTCAAATTCTTTTGTTTCATTTTCATTTTCAGTTTTTAAAATAAACTTTATTTTTTAGAGCAGTTTGAGTTTCATAGTAAAATTGAGCAGAAAGTACAGAGTTCCCATGTGCCCCCTGCCCCCACACATGCCCAGTCCCCCCACATACACACTATCACCATCCCCACCAGAGTGGTGCATTTAGCACAATCAATGAACCTGCCTGGACCCATCATCACCACCCAGTGTCCCTCACTCCCATGAGGGCTCACTCTTGGTATTGTGCATTCTATGGGCTTGGGCAAATGTATAATGGCACATAATCACCATTGTAGAATCACATAGAATGTTATCACTGCCCTAAAAACTCCCCCATATTCTGTCTATTCATCCATTATCCCCACCATCCCCTTCCAGCCCCTGGCAACCACTAATCCTTTTGCTGTCTCCATAGTTTTGCCTTTTCCAGAATGTCATAGAATTGGAATCATCTAGCATGTAACCTTTTCAGATTCACTTAGTAACAGGCATTCTTCCTCCATGACTTTTCATGGTTGAGATAGCTCATTTCTTTTTAGCACTGAATGATATTTCATTGTCTGGATGCATTCCAGTTTATCCATTCACCTACTGAAGGACATCTTAGTTGCTTTCAAGTTTTGGCATTATGAATAAAACTGCTCTAAACATTTGCATGCAGGTTTTTGTGTGAACATAAATTTTCAATTCATTTGGGTAAATACCAAAGAGTGTGATTGCCGGATTGTATGGTAAGGGTATGTTTTAGTTTTGTAAGAAACTGCCAAACCGTCTTCTGAAGTAGCTGTGCCATTTTGCATTCCCACAGCAATGAATGAGAGTTCCTGTTGCTCCACATCCTTGCCAGCATTTGGTGTTGTCAATGTTCTGGATTTGGGCCATTCTTATAGGTGTGTGGTAGTATCTCATTGTTGTCTTAATTTGCATTTCCCTGATGGCATATGATGTTGAACATATTTTCCTATGCACTTTGCCATCATCTGTGTATCTTCTTTGTTGATGTGTCTGTTCAGATCTTTCGCCCATTTTTAAATTTGGTTATTTGGTTTCTTTTTTTTTTCTTTTGAGACAGTGTCTCACTCTGTCACCCAGGCTAGAGTGCAGTGGTACACTTATGGCTCACTGCAGCCTCAATATCTCAGGCTCAAGCAATCCTCTCACCTCAGCCTCCTGAGTAGCTGGAACTACAGGTGTGCACTACCATGCCAATTAATTTTTGTATTTTTTGAAGAGACAAGGTCTCGCCATGTTGCCCAGGCTGGTCTTGAGCTCATGGCTCAAGCAATCCTCCCACCTCGGCCTCCCAAAGTGCTGGGATTATAGGTGTGAGCTAGAGCACCTACCTGTTTTCTTATGGTTGTCTTAAGCATTCTTGGTATATTTTGGATAATAGTTCTTTATCGACTATGTCTTTTGCAAATATTTCCCCTCATTGTGTGGCCCATGTTTTCATTCTCTTGATATCCCCCTCTTTCAAGGAGGATGTTGAAGGCTTGAGTTAAGATTCACCACATGCAATAGGGATCAGGCCTCCACTGTCCTGTGCCCCACGGTCCCCAAGGAGAGAGATGGGGCCTGTGAAGGAAAAAGATGGACCTCAATAGAAGGGAGGCTGGGGCCAGAACCTGCATGGAGGCTCCTCCCACTGTGGAGAAGTTGCAGAGGGGAAAGTCGGGCCCCCTGAGGAAAAGCTAAGTGTGAGGAAGGGGAGTTTAGGGGTGTAGGAAGCTGAGGCTGTTGGAGAAAGCTTACCTGGGAAAGGGAGCCCCGTTAGGAAGAGGAGACCACGTGAAGCCGTTGTCCCGGAGGCAAGGGTGACACTGCTGGCAAGTCCTGTGGGCCCAAGCCCCAAGGACCTTCCTTTGCCAGGACAGGCAGATGCTAGAGCCAGCCTGGCCTAGGGTGCGGAGGCGACACCGCTCCATGCAGTCACTAGGGGTCCCTCTTAAGCTGCTCCTACAGCCCAGCCCTCAAAGGAACACCAAGTGGGACATGCTGCTGTTCCTGGCACTTAGGACAGTCAGGTCCTAAGAGGGCCAGCGGTCAAATGGGAATGTCAGGTTTCATTATGCTCACCTATGCCACACATCCTGGAAAATCAAGACCTTTTGAATCTACAATCCAACTTTAAGCCATTCCTAGGGCCCAACGTGGGGAAGTCACGTTCCAGAGAGAACCTTCACTTAAACATTTCATGACTTGGCCGGGCACAGTGGCTCATGCCTGTAATCCCAGCACTTTGGGAGGCCGAGGCAGGTGGATCATGAGGTCAGGAGTTCAAGACCAGCCTGAACAACATGGTGAAACCCCATCTCTACTAATACTACAAAAATTAGCCAGGCGTGGTGGCACACTCCTGTAATCCCAGCTACTCGGGGAGGCTGAGGCAGGCGAATCGCTAGAACCCAGGTGACAGAGGTTGCAGTGAGCCAAGATAGCGCCACTGCACTCCAGCCTGGGTGACACAGTGAGACTCCATCTCAAAAAAAAAATTCCTGACTTGACAAAAGGAGCCGTTTTAAGGATACATCCATGAGATTGTTTGCATGTGATTTCCCTTTTCAAAACCCACACACCAGAAATAATCAAGGAGGTAAACATAAAACCAGGCAGGAGCCCAACCTGCAAATGTCTCTTTGGGCCTGAGTTGTTGCCAGTTTCACAAAAATTCATCAACTGTCAAAGCAGAACTACAGCTCTATCTGCACTGCCCCAGGAAGAGCAGGAGCTGTCACTGTGCCCTGACTGTAAGATCGCAAAGTGAAAATCTTAGCCAGACTTCTCAGCTCCCCATCTATCTACAAATAAACCAAATAAGGAACCTAAACTTTAACTGTCCTGGCTCAAGACCACCTTTTTGGCTTATTAAAGCCAAGAGATCTTCACTGGAGGTCACACTGGGCACCGTTGGTCAGATGGAAGGGTGTAGGGAGAAGAGAAGAGGAAAAAGTGAGGGCAGAGATCAATGTTGAACAGCATTCTGAGTCACCAACCTGCAGATGTCACAAGGAGGCCTGTGGTGCCACCGGAAGGAAGCACGCTGACACACACATGCACAGGGTCTGCCCTGTGACAACCAGGCAAGGACTCCTTCTGTCTTAAGGACTCCTGACCTTGAGGTGGACACAGGTGCTCCTAAGAGCACCCGGAAGCCCCTGATCCCAAATACTTCCTCTGTGTCTGGAATTCCACCATGAAAGATTCTGTCTCCTGGAGCACACACAATAAAAAAAAAAAAAACTGGAATCAGCCCAAATGTGCATAAATGAGGGACGGCTTAAATAATCTACGATACACACTTACAATGGAACACTACACAGCTGTAAAAAAAAAAAAAAAAAAAAAAAGAGGGAGGAAGCTGGGTGCGGTGGCTCATGCCTGTAATCCCAGCACTTTGGGGGGCTGAGATAGGTGGATTACTTGAGGTCGGGAGTTCAAGACCAGCCTGGCGGCCATAGTGAAACCCCATCTCTACTAAAAATACAAAAATTAGCCAGTGCGGTGGTGCATGCCTGTAGTCCTAGCTACTCCAGAGTCTGAGGCAAGAGAATCGCTTGAACCTGGGAGGCGGAGGTTGCAGTGAGCCGAGATCGCGCCACTGCACTCCATCCTAGGTGACAGAGCGAGACTCCATCTCAAAAAAAATTAAATTAAATTTAAAAGAGGGAGGAAACGCTTACCAATGGGTCTCCAAGAAACACTATCCCATGAAAAGAAACCAAGGTGCAGAACCCTGGGCATGAGAAGGAAGGGGAGGATGTATCTATGTATCTGCTTGTGTATGCAAAACCTCTCTCTGGAAGAATCCACAAGGAACTGACAATACTTGTCTCTACAGAACATAACTGAGGGCGGGGTCAGGCCACGGGAGGAGGGGGCTTGCACTGCATGCTCTTTTGTGCCTTGTGAATATTAAATCCCATGAATTCAACAGAAGTCTTTTAACATAGATTTAAATTTTAAAAGGAAAGGAATGAAAAAGATCTCTACGTAGAGACATGGAAAGATGTACAGGATTTGTGATTCAATGAAAAGTGAGTGAATAACAGTGTGTCTAGTGCACTTCAATGTGTTTAAAAAAAACAGGAAGAGATAATAGGATATTCACATATATACTTGTAAATATATAGAAAAAGTCTTGAAGACTACACTAACAAACAGAGGACCCTGCTGGGGAAGATGGAAAAACACAGATCTTTCACTTTTTACCTCTTCTGTCATCTTTAATTTTTTTTAAGAAGCATGTATTACTGTTCTAATAATAGTAATACAGAAATGGTGAAGGTAAAAGGAAAGGCCTGGTGGCTGTCACATGGTCCTGAGATGGTACTGGCTCCTCCTGTCCTAGCCATCCCTGACAGGCAGCACAATGGTGGCAAACTAACCCACGATGGGGCAGCTGTGCCAACCTCCAGGTCTGCTATAAAGCTCACATAAAGAGGCTGGTGTGAGCAGCTCCAGCATGGAGCCCAGCGCTGAGGTTTCATGGGCAAGGGCAACAGGAGGGAGGCTGTGGTGTGGGAAGTGCTGGTAATCTCACTGCAGTGGGATATGCACAGCAGCACAGGTGATAGAATTGCAGAGAACTAAATACACAGTGCACACGTGCACACACACACATACGGGCGCACCATGGGTGTGCAGACAGAGCTAGGGAAACCTGCAGAAGATAGGACGATTGAATTAATATCAATATCCTGGCTGTGTGTCCCACTGCAGTTTTATGAGATGTCACTGTCAGGGGAAACTGGGTGAGCGGTACATGGGATTCCTCTGTATTACTTCTTACAACTGCATGTGAATCTACAATCATCTCAATCAAGATTTCAGTTTTTAAAAACACAGAAGCAACTTGCAGCCTCATTAACTTTGCCATGATCAGATGAGGCATTCCAAGAGTTGAGGCCACAGCACAGATCGGGGAAATGAGACAAGCCCCTGCAAGAGGGTGAGGGAGACTCAGGATCCACATGTGTCCTTGGGTGCTGCTTCCTGGGCCCCCCGAGAGGAACCATCACAGGGCCCTCGCTGCAGCACACGGGGAGCTGGGCCTGAGAAGGAGGACTTCATCCAGGGAGGCGAGTCCCATAGAATAGGAGCACACAGGAGAAGCACACTGGCCAAGGAGGTCTCTCTCCACCCCCTTGGAGTGCAGCAGAAATACCAGGGTCTCCCATCTGTGATGCAGGCCTGGCTCAAGGCCCAGCATGCCTTTGGGCAGGGGACTTCAGCTCCAAGTCTCAGCCCTCCCCAAGTGCGTCACACTATGCAGTGGGGCCTGCCGGGAGGGTTAGCAACACTGAGGCTGGATGTGCTGGTGGTGTCTGATGTGTGGTGGATGCTCAGGAAACATGGTTTTCCTCCCCTCGGCACCAAAAGGAAAATGAAATTGATGAGCAGAGTCCTGTAGTCTTCTGAGGATCGTCCCTTCTACCTTTTCCCAGAGCCCCTTCCCTTTAGGGAGAAAACACTCAGAAAGACAAAACTGTGTCTGCTCCAGAACATCCCATCACATCCCGGACCAGAGCCGCTTCACTGGAGCAGCGGTGCTTTTGCTTATAAGGAACATTCCCAGCCTGCTCAGCATCGGGCCAACCACCGAGCTGGAAACAGCAGTGACTCGGCCTTTGCCACCTCCAGGCAGACCTCTGCCCTGTGCCTGTTTCCTCTTTGTAACCTAGGGTTGAGAACTCCCAGGACGAGCATGAAGATGAAATGAGATAATATAGATGAAAGGGCCTTGCACACAGCAAGTTACTTGCTATTACAGCATTATTATTGATCCATTTGGTTACAGGACACATCTCCCCTCCACTGTCGCCTGTGGGCACAGACCGATGTCCCAGTGGAGGGAAGATTAAATGGTCATAGTAACACTTACATAGCAGGGCACAGCTTCAAGTGCTGGGCTTAATTGATTCTCACAACAACTGCACGCAGAAGTTACTGGTGTGATCCCCACTTTCAGGTGAGGAAAATGAGGCACAGGGAGATCAAGCCACTGACACGGTTTAAACTTCCTGGCCAGGAGAGGTGGCTCAAGCCTGTAATCCCAGCACTTTGGGAGGGCGAGGCAGGCAGATCACAAGGTCAGGAGTTTGAGACCAGACCAGCCAATATGGTGAAACTCCATCTCTACTAAAAATTAGCTGGACGTAGTCGTGAGCGCCTGTAGTCCCAGCTCCTCGGGAGGCTGAGGCAGGAGAATTGCTTGAACCCGGGAGGCAGAGGTTGCAGTGAGCCAAGATCGTGCCACTGCACTCCAGCCTGAGTGACAGAGTGAGACTCTGTCTCAAAAAAAAATAAAAATTAAAAAAAAAAAAACTTCCCACATAGCCCCAGTCAGCAGGCACCAAGCAGCAGCCACCTTCCTGCGTGGAACATATGTGCACCAGTTTGCCAAAGTCCCCACCACTTCCTATTGCCACCTGTCATGGAAGCTGAGATACTGCTTTCGTTTTTAAAGGCCCTTACGCTGTTGCTCTTCGTGTGGTGGAGGCACCGTTTCTTGTTCCACATTCACACTGTCTGGTTTAAGGAGATTAATGTGGACACACAGGCCAGGGCAGCACCTTTCACAAAGACTCAAACAGGCCTGGCATTCCTGAGTTGTACAGTGTGGCAGCTTGATCTGGTGTCAGGTTTGCACTTCTGGGGCCTCAGTGGGACCACTGGGAAGGGAGAGGCCAGTGTCAACATGATGTAATGGAGGACAGCCCTCTGACCGTGCACACTTACCTCAATTCCTTTTTTTTAAGAGTTATTTCTCTGTGCCCAGCAGTGCCCTCTCCTCTTTCAAAAATCAGAAAAGCTGCCTGGGTGCTGTGGCTCACACCTGTAACTCCAGCACTTTAGGAGGCCGAGGCAGGCGGATCACTTGAGGTCAGGAGCTCGAGACCAGCCTGGTCAACATGGCAAAACCTCATCTTTACTAAAAAATACAAAAATTAGCCAGGTATGGTGACCTGTGCCTATAATCCCAGCTACTCGGGAGGCTGAGGCAGGAGAATTGCTTGAACCCAGGAGGCAGAGTTTGCAGTGAGCCAAGATTGTGCCACTGCACTCCAGCCTGGGCCACAGAGCGAGACTGTCTGAAAAAAAAAAAAAAAATTAGAAAAGCTGAAGTCTTTGGTCCCCAAGTCATAGAAGACGAAAAGAAAAACGGAAAAGAAAAGCTGGGCGGGGCACAGTGGCTCATGCCTGTAATCCCAACACTTTGGGAGGCCAAGGTGGGCAGATACCTTGAGCCCAGGAGTTCGAGAACAGCCTGGCCAGCATAGCAAAACCCTGTCTCTACAAAAAATACAAAAATTAGCCAGTGTGGTGGTGTGTACCTGTGGTCCTAGCTACTTGGGATGCTGAGGTGGGAGGATTGCTTAAGCCTGGGAGGTGGAGGTTGCAGCGAGCCAAGATTGTGCCACTGCACTCCAGCCTGGGTGACAGAGTGAGACCTTGTCTAAAAAAAAAAAAAAATGCCAGGCACAGTAGCTCATGTCTGGAATCCTAGGTGGGCAGATCATCTGAGATTGGGAGTTCAAGACCAGCCTGGCCAACAAGGTGAAACCCCATCTCTACTAAAAATACAAAAATTAGCCAGCCATGGTGGTGGGTGCCTGTAGTCCCAGCTACTCAGGAGGCTGAGGCAGGAGAATAGCTTGAGTCCAGCAGGCAGAGGTTGCGGTGAGCCAAGATCACGCCACTGCACTCTAGCCTGGGTGACAGAGTGAAACTCCGTCAAGAGAAAGAGAGAGAGACAGAGAGAGAGAGAAAGAGGAAAGAAAGAAAGAAAGAAAGAAAGAAAGAAAGAAAGAAAGAAAGAAAGAAAGAAAGAAAGAAAGAAAGAAAGGAAGGAAGGAAGGAAGGAAGGAAGGAAGGAAGGAAGGAAGGAAGGAAGGAAGGAAGGAAGGAAGGAGAGAAGGAAGGAAGGAAGGAGAGAAGGAAGGAAGGAAGGAAAGAAGGAAGGAAGGAAGGAAGGAAGGAAGGAAGGAAGGAAGGAAGGAAAAGGAAAGCTGAAGTCTAACACCTAATCCCTACATACAAATGGCTTCACTGAGACCAGAAATCAGAGGAAGCACTGAGGAGCAGAGGCAGCGGTCCTGCTTGCAGGGTCTTAGGTCTATTGTCCCATTACTCCTGACAAGGTAGTTGCTATGAGTCCCCCCACTCCAAAGATGGAAAAGCTGAGGCACACAGAGGGTAAGTCATCTGCCAAAGGTCATTGAGCCAGGAGGTTGGCCAGGGAGATCTCTGCTCACCGAGTTGGGACTGAGGAGTGGCAAGGGGGAGAGTAGTGTTTAGGGAGACCCACTGCGTGCCTGCCACCAGGCTAAGTGCCCTCTGCACTAAGCTACTCTCATCCTCGAGCAATATTAAGAGGCTGGCATCGTGCACCCAATTTTAGAGATGAAGAAGCAGGGCCTCCGGGACCAGAAGCCTCAGCTCACACAGGATTGAGTGCAGAGCTAAGGCTAGAGCCTGTCTGCCTGGCTGCAGGGCCTAACCCCTGGAGAGAGAAGACAACATCACCCTGCTGGTGCTGTCCTCTCAGCCCCCTCCATGCCCTGGGCACTGGGGCCGGATGCCCAGCAGGGGGTGGTGGCCTTGGCCCTGGGCAGACATTCTAGAAAGCCAGCAGTTCATTAGGTCCCCTGCTCCAAAACACAAGGGCCATGCTTGAGACTCATGGGTGAGGGCAGGGGTCTGCTGCTTCTTCCAACCCCCACAACCAAGATGGGCAGGGTGGACACTGGTGTTTCTCAGGCTCCTGTGAGTGCCCAGCCCTTGCCATACCAACCGGTGACAGATGTTGCTGTCCCAGCTGCTTCTCCACGCCTGGTGCAGCCCTCCAGCGAGCTTTGTCAGGCCTACATGGTGATTCAAACACATCTGAGTCAACATATAAATATCAAAGGATTGCACTTTTTAAAATCCAAATTTCACATTTCTCTAGGAAAAAAGTAGATCTGCCAGCCCTAGGCCCATACTCTCACAGATCCCCAGTCAGCTAGTGCTGAGCAGCAGCTACCTCTTTGCGTGAAACATGTGAGCATCAGTTTGCCCCAGTCCCCGCCACCTGCAGCCGAACTACTGTTTTCTTTCTTTTCTGGAGGCAGAGTCTTGCTCTTTCACCCAGGCTGGAATGCAGCGGTGCGATCTCAGCTCACTTTAACCTCCGCCTCCCGGGTTCAAGCGATTCTTCTGCCTCAGCCTCCCAAGTAGCTGGGATCACAGGCACGTGCCACCACGCCCAGCTAATTTTTTGTACTTTAGAAGAGATGGAGTTTCACCATGTTGCCCAGGCTGGCCTCGAACTTCTGATCTCAGGCCTCCCAAAGTACTAGGATTACAGGTGTGAGCCACCACACCCAACCCTACTGTTTTCATTTTTAAGGGCCCTTATGCTGTTGGTCTGCTTGTGGTGGAGGCATAGTCCTTGGTACCCATGTCTCCATCAAAAATTGGAAAATAGAAAATAAATTGAAGGGCCTCAAGTCTTATTCTGTGGACATGCAGAATGTTCACGTGCAGTCCATCTGCAGACGCCTGTCCTGTTCACTATGTGCAGCACCGCTGGGCCAAAGCTCCCTCTCAATGTGGTAACGGCTGCGCACTGCTCCTCCCCAGGGGGGTAATGTTCAGCCAGGTATTTAAGAATGGCACCTCCGCAGTCCACCCCCCCAACACAGCAGGGGCCCCAGGAGGCTTGGCGTCTGCGATCTCAGGTCTCAGGGCCCTCAGCCCTGCTCCCCAGGCCGTGCACACAGGGCTGCCTGGGTTTGAGGGTGCTCTTCCGTGGGCTCCATGCTTGTGGCGTGCATCTGCCCCAAGGCAGGCCGAGCCTGGGGCTGGGTCCTCTCTACCAAGCCCCTGGCACTTCCCGAAAGGGCTGCAGATAATGCAGCGAAGATGGCTGTCAGCGATAAGGACGATGATGACACCGACAAACGGCACTGCCCGGAAGCTTCCCGAAAGTGATCTGAGATGCATCTTCTGATCTGTGAACCTCCACAAATGAGAGTCCCCTACTTTCAGTTTGGGCCTCACATAATCGCTGCCAGAAACTATTAAAAATATATTTTATAAACTATCCCCCTTGCCCTGTTCATTTATTTCTGGAAATCTAGTCTTAGAAAGTCATTAAAAAAAAAAAACAGATAAAGGGAGGGGAAGAAAAAAGAAAAAGTTATGTTCATGAAAATGTCCACTGGGCAAGGACACACCCAAATGATCATGGTGGGAATGCGGTTTTGTGGGGAAATGTTTTGTTTGTTCATTTTGGTTTTGTTATTTTTAAAACTTTCTGCAATGTTATATCACTTCTCAGAATAAATAGATACAGGCCGGGAGCAGTGACTCACGCCTGTAATCCCAACATTTTGGGAAGTCAAGGCAGGAGGATCACTTGAGTCCAGGAGTTCAAGACCAGCCTGGGCAACATAGTGAGACCCCCATCTCTAAAAAAAACTTAGCTGGGTGTGGTGGCACACACCTGTAGTCCCAGCTACTGGAGCAGAGAGGTGGGGGCTGAGATGGGAGGATTACTTGAGCCCAGGAGGTTGAGGCTGCAGTGAGCTGTTATCATGCCACTGCACTCCAGCTTGGGCAACAGAGCGAGATTCTAACTCAGAAAATAAAATAATAAATAAATGCAAGCCAGGTGTGATGGTTCACGCCTGTAATCCCAGCACTTTGGGAGGCCAAGGTGGGTGGATCACCTGAGGTCAGGAGTTGGAGACCAGCCTGGCCAACATAGTGAAACCGCATCTCTACTAAAAATACAAAAAAAAAAAAAAAAATTAGGTGGGCACGGTAGTGGGCGCCTGTAATCCCAGCTACTAGGGAGGCTGAGGCAGGAGAATCATTTTGAGGCAGAGGTTGCAGTGAGCCGAGATCGCGCCACTGCACTCCAGTCTGGGCAACGAGAGCAAAACTCCATCTAAATAAATAAATAAATAAATAAATGCAACTTTAAAACTTCCAGGCCACCTGTGGTCCCGCCAGGTGAAGCTGGTGGTTAACAGCAAAGACAGGCTTCCTGGGCTCCTGTCCCCACTCCTGCAGTCCCCTGCCAGTGTCTGTGGCAAGGTCCTAACCTCTTTTTGGCTCAGTTTCCTTTTTTTTTTTTTTTGAGACAGAGTCTCACTCTATCACCCAGGCTGGAGTGCAGTGGTGCAATCTCAGCTCACTGCAACCTCTGCTTCCAGGGTTCAAGCGATCCTCCTGCCTTAGCCTCCCAAATAGCTGGGATTACAGGTGCCCACCACCACATTCAGCTAATTTTTTTTGTATTCTTAGTAGAGATGGGGTTTCACCATGTTGGCCAGGTTGGTCTTGAACTCCTGACCTCAGATGATCTGACCACCTCAGCCTCCTAAAGTGCTGGGATCACAGGTGTGAGCCACCATGCCAGGCCAGTTTCCTTATTTTTGAAATGGGCACAATAACAGTTCCCACCGCTTCGGGCCATTGCTTGGATGAAATGAGTTAGTTTGTGCAGAAGTGCTTAGAACAGCACCCAGCTCACAAGTCCTTCTGAAGCCCCAGCCACCCTCCTCTACCTGCTGCCCCCTGCCAGGGCCTGGGCCCCTCCCTCCCTGAGTCCCTTACCTCCTCGGCTTCCCCAGGCCTGCCCTAGAGCCACCCTCTTTCTCAGCCAGTCCTCAACTTTATGACCTTTATCTCTGGAACGCTGATGTGAAGCTCCGATTTGAGGTTAAACTTAATTCATTTTATGCAGAAGAAAACCTTAATTCATTTTATGTTTTATGCTGACATATTTCTCAGTAGAACACAGCCATCATGTCTTCATACACCTTTATATACTCCAGGGCACAAGTGAAAAAATAAAGTTTTTCTGTATAGTCAAAACACATTATCATCGCTGACAAAATAATTCATCAATTCTGTCCAATAGTTGGTTCACAGGCAAATTTAGAGGCAACATTTAAAAACTGTAATGTCCTTCTTTTTTTTTTTTTTGAGACAGGGTCTCATTCTGTCACCCCGACTGGAGTGAGCCCAGTGGCATGATCTCAGCTCACCACAACCTCTGCCTCCCAGGCTCAAGCAATTCTCCCGCCTCAGCCTCCTCAGTAGCTGGGATTACAGACGCGCACCACTGCCACCCGGCTAATTTTTGTATTTTTAGTAGAGATGGGGTTTCACCATGTTGGCCAGGCTGGTCTCGAACTTCTGACCTCAGATGATCCACCCACCTCAGCCTCCCAAAGTGCTGAGATTACAGGCGTGAGCCACCGCACCCAGCCCGTTTTTTGTTTTTTTGTTTTTTTGGTTTTTTTGAGACTGAGTCTCGCTCTGTCGCCCAGGCTGGAGTGCAGTGGCGCGATCTCGGCTCACTGCAAGCTCCGCCTCCTAGGTTCATGCCATTCTCCTGCCTCAGCCTCCCAAGTAGCTGGGACTACAGGTGCCTACCACCACGCCCAGCTAATTTTTTGTATTTTTAGTAGAGACAGGGTTTCACCATGTTAGCCAGATGGTCTCAATCTCCTGACCTCGTGATCTGCCCACCTCGGCCTCCCAAAGTGCTTTTTTTTTTTTTTTTTTTGAGACGAAGTTTCACTCTTGTCACCCAGGCTGTAGTGCAATGGTGCGATCTCGGCTCACTACAACTTCCAACTCCCAGGTTCAAGCGATTCTCCTGCCTCAGCCTCCTGAGTAGCTGGAACTACAGGCACCTGCCACCACGCCCAGCTAAATTTTTTTTTTTTTTTTGAGACGGAGTTTCACTCTTGTCACCCAGGCTGGAATGCAATGGCGCGATCTCAACTCACCGCAACCTCTGCCTCCCAGGTTCAAGCGATTCTCCTGCCTCAGCCTCCCAAGTAGCTGGGATTACAGGCACAAGCCATCATGCCTGGTTGATTTTTGTATAGACGGGGTTTCGCCATGCTGCCCAGGCCAGTCTCAAACTCCTGAGCTCAAGCAATCTGCCCACACCTCGGCCTCCCAAAGTGCTGGGACTGTGGATGTGAGCTCCCCTGCCCGGCCAAAAGTTTAAAAATAAAGAAAAGAATGAGGCAGAAAAACATAACCAATATACGCAATCTCCAAAATAACAGGTGAAGCCCAGGTACCACAGGCTGAATGGCTGTGCACTCTGGTCCTGTCTATGGAAGAATTCACACAGCCTTGGATCTCAGCCCACAGGTGCGCAGGACCCCAGGAAAGCTTGCAAAATGGCTGTGGGGGCAGGGGGAGCATCTCATTAAAGGGACAAGAAAAAGCCATCATCGGGGTGGAGAATGATTTAAATGG
The DNA here is from genome assembly GCF_000001405.40 of Homo sapiens. Taxonomy (NCBI): domain Eukaryota; kingdom Metazoa; phylum Chordata; class Mammalia; order Primates; family Hominidae; genus Homo; species Homo sapiens. The sequence continues at coordinate 128,602,473 of NC_000003.12, forward strand.
CCTTGGGGAATTGCCGCAAGCTCTGTATCCCTCATAGCCTTACCACAAGGACAGGAGTCCTGGGTTTCTCAGGCCTCCTGATTTCAAAAGTTCCCTCCCCAACTCTTGTTGATACCCTCAGCCAGCTGGGGGTCCCAAAGTGGGCTTGAAAAATGTTTAGACGAGGGCCTTGTCCTCCCCTACCCTCTGCCCAAGAGGGACAGCGCTGTTATCCCAGATTCAGGCCCTGGAGCCCATCCCCACTGGCTGGGCAGTCTGAGTTTGGCTTGGGCCAGCAGAGCCCCCGGGTGCTCCAGCCCAACTTTGGCCATGCTGCCTAAGAGCGTCTTGCTAAACAGACGGCCTGGAGTCCTAGACCCTTGTGGGAACTGGAGCCTGTGCCAGCCTGGGGGCCCGGATCTCCTTCCTCCCAGTGCGGGGCCTAATCACTCATGGTCAGCAGGAGGCCTGCAGAGGGAGAGACGAGATTGGCCCTCCAATCCCTGCCTCTGGGAAAGGTGGCTGGGGCCAGGTTCTGGAGAAAGGACCTGGAGCTTCCAGGAAAGTTTAGGAAGCAGAGGGGGGACCCCTTGCCCTGCCAATTCAGACCACTCTCACGAGTTGGGGCCAGAATAATTAAGCGGCTTCCTCTGGCGCCTACTCTGAGGGGTCGGTAATGATGTCCAGCACTGTGATGAGGAGGATTCTGAGGCACCGTCCATGATTGAAGGAAGGAGCTCCTTGGAGATGTTGCCACCTTCGCCACAGTAGAGGACGGGTAGTGTGCAGATGTCTGCCACCCTGGAGGTAGGGTCTCTCCTTCCCCCAAGTTCTATGCATGATCTCAAGTATAGAGGGGTGGGGAGGTGTTATCAGGAGAATGATTCATAGTATTGCTCTCATTACGGTACAGCTCCCAGTCATGGAGCACCCACTTTCAGCCAGGCACTTCATAGATGCTGCCCTGTAGTAATCCTGAAATGCTAAGAGAATCGGCAAGGGCACGCATCTTGCCGATCTCTGAACATTTGCTTAATGGGGGCTGGGCATCATGATCCCATTTTACAGCTGGAACAACTGAGACTCCAAGCACCTGCCAAGGCCCCACGCTGGTAGGAGTGGGCCCCAAACCTGGGTGCCCTCTCGAAGGTACCCTCAAAGCCAGGGCCTGGCCTCCCGCTGCCTCTCCTAAGCCCCCACTCCAGGCCTGAGCTCCCCTGCTGATGGGGGGCAGGGGACACGCCATCTGTCTGCAGAGGCAGGGGTGCCACTGGGGGGGACATGCCACCCCCACAGGCAGTGGACGGGGCCTCCCTGCATCCGTTACTTGCCCCCTGCCCAGACTCTGCCCACCGCACAGCAGTGATAGATAGTTTGTGAAATACCCTGAGCTTGCGGTTGACCAGAATTCTGAAATAATTCCATTGAGACCGGAATTCATGCAATGTTCTGTATCCTGATGTGGTAAAGCAGGCTGCCCGCGGGGGCGCAAGGGGATGTGAAGGCCTGGGGATGGTGAGGCAGCCTCCAGGCCCTGCAGCAGGGGCTTCTGCCACCCCCCCTCGCCCACGGGCTCCGGAAGGCCCATCTGACAGGAGCAGGGCCCTGATAAGCACCACCTGACCAGGAGGCCCCCGGCAGAGAGATTAATGCACAAATTGTCAACAACCTCCCCATGCTGTACCCCCGCAGAGGAGCAGGGCGGGGGGGCACTGGGAAAGGAAGGACAGAGGAGGCCTCACCCGGAGAGAGGCAAAAGGACAGCTCAGCCCGGCCTTGCCCTGCGGCCTCAGCCTGGCTGCCCCACCTGCGCCAGCCGGGCTCTGGACACCTGGAGGGGGAAGAGGCCAAGGTGTGAAGGCAGGCTTGTATCATGGGCCAGTCTGATGCCCAGGCAGGTCCTGGCTGTGCAGGAGGGTGGGAGGGAGCTGCTGCCTGCTGAGCCTCCTCAGCCTGGAAGCTCCCCAAAGCCAGAGCTGACTCCAAACCTCCTGGCCCAGAACCCTGCGCTCCAGTCCCTGGCCCTGCCAGCCCCCAAGGTGGCTTCCCTGGAGGAAGACATGTGTTTCTCCTTGGCGAGCACTTCTCTCAGTGCTGCAGAGTGTCCCTGTGTTTCTGCAGCCAGGCAGGACTGGACTTGGCAGAGCACAGCAGGACTGCAGGAGGAGGCTGGGGGTTGCTCTGGGGTCATCATATTCAGGACCACACACGGTCGACAGGCTCAGGCCAGTGAAGTTCCCTCTCCTCATGGGACAACCAGAAGCTCAGGGGCAGCCTGGTGGGTTTTCTATAAAGCAAAATGCAGCCATTGAAAGGGCTGTCCTGGGTTCTGCCATTAGGAACTTCCTATTTCTTAGGTGGGGGAAACTTTTCTCTAAAGCAATGAGGGTACCAGCAAATCAGAGACATAAACTGAGGGCCACTGGCATACGGAGCTTGCTGCATGGGTTACCAGGTTTTTATTTTCTTTAAGTCCATTCTTTCAGGCTGTATTTCCAGCTTTGCTTTGGAAGCTCTGGCCACTCTGAGCCCACATTCCTTCGTGGCCCTATGCCTGGAGCTGAGCAGGGGCCACCCTGAAACAGGCCCACCCACTTCCCACCCCTGCTCCTCTCTGCAGTGAACAGAACAGTGAGGATCCAGAGTGTGAACCCCATGGACCGGGAGGAGTATGTGTCCCACAGGACAGCACTGGGGTTCACGCTTCTGCAGAGTCCCCAGCCTGGGGTCCGTCTCAATCATTCTCCCACCTCTGCTGGGAAACTCAGCTGCTGCAGTCACTTGTCATGGACTATTTTCATGCAGGTCCATCTTCCTCATTAGGTTGCCAAGGACATGGGACACAGGCTTAGGGGCCCCGGGGTTCGGGGACAAGGAGTGAGGTGAGGCTGCACAGACCTGAGTGCTCAGTTGAACCCTCTGAACCTTTTCAAGAGATCTGGAAAATTCTACTGTTCTTTTTTTTTTTTTTAAGAGGCGGTTTTGCTCTGTTGCCCAGGCTAGAGTGCAGTGGTACAAACATAGCTCACTGTAACCTCGACCTCCTGGGCTCAAGCAATTGCACCTTGGCCTCACAAATAGCTGGAACTACAGGCATATACCGCATGCCTGGCTAATTATTAAAATTTTTTGTAGAGATGAGGTCTCCCTCTGTTGGCCAGGCTGAACTCCTGGGCTCAAGCGATCCTCCCACCTCGGCCTCCCAAAGGTCTGGGATTATAGGCATGAACCTCTGTGCCAGATGGGAAAATTATATTTTTTAAGTAATATCTCTCAGGTTTTAAATGTTGAAAATGAATTCATCTTTCAGTAATGATAATAATATTCTATAAGGAAAAGAAAATACATCTGCCAGCTAGGAGATGGCAGCCTCCAATTAGGAGCAAGGAGGTTCACCAGATCCCATGCTATCTGGTCAGTTGGTGTCAGGAGGGAATAAAACTATCCCATGCAAAATTTTCTGATCATCTTTTCCAGCCCGGCCCAGGACTGATTCCAGCACCTACCTAAGTCAGATCCTAGCCAGTCCTCAGGGAACTAGGTATGGAGCAGTGGACAGAGAAGGATAATTAAAGCAATATAGTGTGACATCCTGTAAATGAATGGAGACTTTCCAGAGGAATTCACAAGAAATTGCTAACACTGTGTTTCTCTGGAAGAGAAGCTGGTAGGAAGCCGGAGATTCTGCTTGCCTCTGTATACCCTTCTGATCTGTCTGGATCCTTAGTATGAGCATGTGTTAACTCTTACAATTGGGATTTTTTTTTTTTTTTTTTTGAGATAAGGGCTCACTCTGTCACTCAGGCTGGAGTGCAGTGGTGTGATCTCAGCTCACTGCAACCTCAACCTCCTAGGCTCAAGTAATCCTCCCACTTCAGTCCCCTGAGTAGCTGAGACTACAAGTACTCGACTCCGTGCCCAGCTAATTTTTACATTTTTAGTACAGATGGGGTTTCATCATGTTCGGCAGGCTGGCCTCGAACTCCTGAGCTTGAGCGATCTGCCCACCTCAGCTTCCCAAAGTGCTCGGATTACAGGCATGAGCCACCACGCCTGGCCTTTTACAATTTTTAAAATCTCTCTTTGTTGTTACAAACAGGGTCTTGCTACGTCACCCAGGCTTGCCTCAGACTCCTGAGCTAGAGCGATCCTCCCTCCTCAGCCTCCCAAGTAGCTGGGACTATAGGCCCATACCACTTTTACAATTTTTAAAACACAGAAACATTTTGTAATGAATCTGGATATAAACAGATGTGGTGATACCATCACAACATTGTAACCCCAGTGCACAGAGACCCCAGCAAGGCAGTAACCATGTCTATGAGAGGGAGAAGGAAAGTAGCACTTAAGCTTTCCCAGGAGTAACCCTGGGGGTGGGTTTTAGAGAATGAATAGGAGTTTTTCAGCGGGGCGCGGGGGCTCACACCTGTAATCCCAGCACTTTGGGAGGCCGAGGCAGGCAGATCACGAGGTCAGGAGATCGAGACCATCCTGGCTAACACGGTGAAACCCCGTCTCTACTAAAAACACAAAAAATTAGCCGGGCGTGGTGGCGGGTGCCTGTAGTCCCAGCTACTCGGGAGGCTGAGGCAGGAGAATGGTGTGAACCCAGGAGGTGGAGCTTGCAGTTAGCCGAGATCGTGCCACTGCACTCCAGCCTGGGCTACAGAGCCAGACTCCATCTCAAAAAAAAAGAGAATGAATAGGAGTTTTTCCAGGCAGACAAGAAGGAACACTTCGAAGACCCAGGACACCAGTAGCTGTGGGGATCACTGGGGAAGGTTTTGTGGCATTTGTGGAGGTGTTAAGCCTTGAAGGAGGGGAGAATCGGAGTGAGACGGGGGTTAGGGTAGGGAGTGTAGCACAGGCATGGACACAGCACAATGCCAGGGACAGTGGGATCTGGCTGCAGCTCCAGGAAGGCCATCTCCCTGATGTCAGGGAGGGGTGAAGACCTAGGTTCAAGTCCAGGTTCTCCCAATTACTTGGCGTGAAGCCTTGAATTTGCCCTATCCATGCCCCGTTCGCTCACCTGCTAAAGCAGGGATGTGTAGCAGGGCGTAATGGCGCACGCCTGTAGTCCCAGCTACTCAGAAGGCCGAGGCAGGAGGATGGCTTGAGCCCAGGAGTTTGAGGCCACTCTGACCAACATAGCCAAACCACATTTCTAAATAAGTAAATGGAAGCGTGGAAGTTGTGCCCTACTGAGAGTGTGTATGAGAAGCACCTGAGAACCACAGCTAATGAACTGCCCACAGGCTGTGAGGAGTTTGCACCGGTCCTCATTGCCTTGCTCAGGGTCAGCCCAGGAGAGGGGCCGCCCCACCCAACGCTGCCACACAGGCTGGGAAAAGCCATGGCTCTCCAACGGGCATCCACACTCCCGGCTAAGCAAAGGCTCTGCAAAGCTGGGGCCAGACAGCCACTCAGTGTCTGCTGTTTCCTCTGGCCCTGAATCGCAGGCCGCGCTGGATGGCTCTGGTGCCAAAGGGTGGCCTCTGAACAGGAACCTCGGCCTGGGAATGTCCCTGGGACCCCACAGGACCTGACCCGGAGCCACCACTAGAAGCCGGAGCTCCCAGGCCAGGGCTGCGGGAATGGCCCCGGGTCCTCTGCCCAGGGCCTGCAGGTGCTCCAGGTCAGCGGGCGACTTTGGCCGCTGCAGAGACCGAGATACGCGGGGTAACAGCCCGTTCCGGAGCCGGTCATCAGGCGCCAAGCCCCGCTGGGCTCCTCGCAGCCGCGGGACCTTTCTCCGCCCTTCCCGAGGCTGAGTTTCCTGAACGGGAAGCTGCCGGCCCGCGGGGCAGCCGGGAGCAGCCAGGGCGTGAGGACGTGGGTTCCCGTCACCCCCGGCTTGGAACAGCAGCGCCGCAACAACCGCTGGCGTTCATCGAGCCTCTCAGCAGCCCTGCGAGGCGATCCCGGGGAGAATCCCACGCCACAGCCGAGGAAACTGAGGCAGGCAGGGTGACACACAGCCCAGTAGTGGCGGGCGGGCGCCCAGGCTGCCACCGCGCTGAGGACCGGCCCCTCTGCCAGCCGGGAGGTGCGCGTGGCCTAGGCGGGGGCGCCCTCTGGCGGCCGCGGGTTCCAATCCCTGCCGGCCTCGCAGGCGTGGGGCAGGACAGCCGCGCTCTCGCCAGGGCCCAGAGCCCCACTTTGCCAAGGAGCTGTCGCTGGAGCGGTGACTTTGTTCAGGGCCGAGAACCGGAGGAGGAGGCCAGACTTGCTGCTGGGCAGCTGGCACATGGGACATGGGGTGTTATGACTCCAGCATTTATGGAGCGCCTGCTGTGTGCTCTGCAGGTATAGTCCCATGACCACCCCCCGAGCATGGGGTTATCTCATTCTTTTTTTTGGGGGCGGGGGGGACGGAGTCTCTCTCTGTCGCCCAGGCTGGAGTGCAGCAGCGCGATCTCGGCTCACTGCAACCTCCGCCTCCCAGGTTCAAGCGACTCTCCTGCCTCAGCCTCCTGAGTAGCTGGGATTACAGGTAGGCACCACCACGCTAATTTTTGTATTTTTAGTAGAGGTTTCACCATGTTGGTCAGGCTGGTCTCGAACTCCTAACCTCATGATCCACCTCCCTCAGCCTCCCAAAGGGGTTATCTCATGCTATGGATGAGGCCCTGAGGCTCAGAGACCCGTCTGACTCTAAAGCCACCCATTAGGACTGACCCCAGACAGCCCCTTAATAGCCACTGGGTTCCACTGTGGCCAGGGGAGTGTGGCATGAGGCAAAAGGGACCATTTCCCCTCTGAAACATGAGCTGAACTAGATCAGTGTTTTGCCAGCATTCAGGTCCACCTTGCAGCATGTGCAGGACGCACCTATCACCCGTGTTCATATTCACATCCTAACGCCAGGCCTACACAGTACTGACCATGGGCACCACCTGACCGCTGTCAGCTTATTTGAGGATCACACCAACAACCACGCTCTTGTTAGAAATTAATATGACCCCGTTTTATGAATGGAAAATGGAGGCTCAGAGCAGCTGAGCACCTTTCCACAGTCACACAGCCAGGTGGCGTCAAATCCAGCAACCCAACCCTGGCCACCGGCTCCCGGCCTCTGCGAGGTGGAGCTTCCAGCTAATCCAGCTCCACTCTGCTCAAGCCATTTTTCTTTTTTTTTTTTTTAAAGAAATGAGGTTCACTATGTTGCCTCGACTAGTCTTGGTTCCGGTACTCAAGCTGAGTATGGGAATTAAAAGCATGAGCCACCACCCAGGCCTATATTCTTTTTTACAATTTATCCCTAAACGAAACTTTGTATCTCTGACATAAGTGGAAAATCACTTTCACATGGCTAAATACAGGTAGCTGTAAAAATCAAATACAATTTATGGCCAGTGCTGTGGCTCACACGTGTAATCCCAGCACTTTGGGACGCTGAGGCGGAAGGGCCACTCGAGCCCAGGAGTTTGAGACCAGCCTGGGCAGCATAGTGAGACTTCATCTCTTAAAAAAGAAAAAAATAAATCAAATACAATTTACATCAAATAAAGTGATCCAGTTCTGACCAGAGAGAATGGTCAGCAGAGAGTCTGGCATTCTAGACAGGGTTCCATTTCCATTGAAGAGGTTTCTGTGTTACAAGCAAGTGAACTGGTGGGACACTGCCTGGTTTTCTCCTGAATCCCACCCCACTGCGGCACAGATCTCACTCCCCATACCCCAGCAGCACCTCCTCCCAATCCCCAGCCTCTCCACTGCAACATGAAGCATGGAAGAAAGATGAAGGTGTGTGTGTCACTCGCTGTAGAGTGCTGAGAGACGCAGGGAAGACAGAGGCATAGGTGTCCGTAATTGGGGTGCAGGTGGTGAGACACGGGGAAGATGGTGGTGTGGGTGTCCATCTCTGCTGTGAGGTAGAGGGCAGACCCCATGTAGATCTAGGGTCATGAGTTAGCCTTGATATATGAGTGGTGACTTACATGACAACTGAAACCAGTGCCATGGTCTGAATGCATTTATCCCCCCAAAATGTACCTGTTGATGTCCTAATTCCATAGTGATGGTATCAGGATGTGGGGCCTTTTGGGGGTGACTAGGCCATGAAGGAGGAGTGCTCATAATTGGGCTCCAAGCCCTGATAGCAGAGCACTGGCTCGGCACGCCAACTTCTGCCTGCGAGGACACAGTGAGGACACCGGCAGGCTGCATCCCGGAAGACAGCCCTCTGCAGAGCCCGCCCCTGCTGCCACTCTCATCTTGGAGTTACCACCCTCCTGAACTGTGAAAAAGGAATGTGTGTTGTTCTAAGTACCCCGATTGTTGTTATTTGTTATCACAACCTGAACAGACTAAGACAGGCAGCATGAGCATGTGCTCTTGATCGACATGGACACAGATAAATGAAAACCCACCACACATTCCCCAGGGTGTACACACACCTGTCCCCATGCGTCTCACACAAGATGCGCTGGAGGTAGGAAAGGGGAGGGAAATTGGGGCTGGGAAGCAGGAAGACGCAGCGAGCCCAGAGGGCATGGTGCCCTGATCTGATGAAAAAGATAAAAATAGAACGAACTAGAATCAAATGCCCCGCATAGGGCCCGGCCAATTCTAACCCTCAAGCCCCCCACACCCAGCTGTGGACCCTGGGACAGCCACTGTATTATCTGCGCCTCTGCCTGTCCACTGGGGGCCCTGCGGGCAGGACTGCTGTGTTGCCTCTGTGCCTGGCCCATGGATGTCTGACTATGGGTCTCTGTAAACACGGGGGCAATGTCCCCAGTCCCTCAGAGCAGCCACACCAGATGGGCCTTCCAGACTGGCTCTGTCAAGACCTGAAATTCCCAAGTCCTTAAAAGGCTGCAAATCCTCCCCCCACTCCACAAAGACAACACACAAATAAATCATAACTGCTGTGTCCTAAGCACATCGTGTGTGCCTGGATTTTACACACATATTTGTCATCTTCACAACGTAAGTAATATTTGGTCCATTCTTTGAATGGGGAAACAGGCAGAAAGAACTTAAATGACTTGCCTCAAAGTTACCCAGCTGGCACAAGCAGGGTTCAGGTCCAGCTAGGCCTGATCCCACCTTCTGCCCTCTTCTGACAGCCCCAGGCTGCCTCCCACCACACACAACACACACACACATGCATGCACACACACATGCACTTGCACAGCCACATGACATGTGCAAGGACACACACATATACATATACACAGACACACACATGCATACACAGAGACACACAGACACACACACACATGGGTCACAGCCCAAAATAACACCTTCCTGGAGCTAACGCCTCTCCTTCCCCCTCACCCCGAGTGTGTATGGATTCCTCCAGCCCAAGCCTCCCTCCCCAAATCACCCCTCTCTAGCCCTGTCAGATTCAGAAGGATCTCCTCCTCAGGTCAGCCTCCATCTCTGACAAATCCCCCCACCCCATCCTCTGGTCCTGCTCCCCCAGGGCTCCCAGCACCTGGCCCAGTGGACCAGCTGCAGGCCACACCTCTCTACTGGTGGAGAGGGAAACCCTGGGCTCTCGGGTAGAGCTGCGGGTGCTGGTGGTGGGTGGCCATGCCTTCGTCCATGTCCATCCAACATGCACTCCCTGTGTGCCTGGACCCCACTCCCTCTCCTCCAGGCCTTTGTGCCATGCACAAGCTCCAGGCCTGGGGCCCCATCCTGATGGAGAGAAGTGGTCAGGAAAGTGGGCAGGCCTCAGGGCTTCAAGCCAGGCCCCAAGAGGCAGAGGGGAGAGTGACAGGACCTGGAGCTGAGACTTAGGAACGTGACAGGTGGCCAGTGTGGTGGCTCATGCCTGTAATTCCAGCACTTTGAGAGGCTGAGGTGGGTGGATCGCTTAAGCCCAGGAGTTCAAGACCAGCCTGGACGATATAGCAAGACCCCATTTCTACTATTTAAAAAATATGTATATAATTTTTTTTCTTTTTTTTTCCAGAGTCTCGCTCTGTCGCCCAGGCTGGAGTGCAGTGGTGCAATCTCAGCTCGCTGCAACCTCCACCTCCTGCGTTCAATCGATTCTCCTGCCTCAGCCTCCCAAGTAGCTGGGACTATAGGCGCATGCCACCACGCCCACTAATTTTTGTATTTTTAGTAGAGACAGGGTTTCACCATGTTAGCCAGGATGGTTTCGATCTCCTGACCTCGTGATCCGCCCGCCTGGTCCTCTCAAAGTGCTGGGATTACAGGCGTGAGCCACCACACCTAGCCTATATTTAAATTTTTTTAAAGAAAACAGACAGGTGCTCTCCAGAGCAGCAGCGCGTGGTAGCACAGAGCGGCAGGGTGCACTCACCGTGTGAGCACACCACGCAGAGTGTTTCTGCACGCACGTGTGCCCCAGAGCAGCCTGTGTGCCTCTGCATGCCTCTGGGAGTCTGTGCACTTGTGCATGAAGGGGAGAGTCTGTGAGAAAGGATGGGTAGTGCAGAAGGCGAGAACACAGGCTCTGAGACCGGCACGCCAGGCTCACATGCTGTGCAAGTTCCCTCACTGGTGACAGTGGCAGCCAGAGCCGCACCTGGCAGAGCGTGAACGGGCTCCTTATCATTTCCACTCTGCAGGCATCTCTGTGGGCTGCACAAGGTCCCTGTGGCGGGGACTCTGCCCACTCCCGACTGTATCCCCAGGGCCAGGGACATGGCGAGTGCACGTATCTGGCATGTGTGAATCTGCCTAGCGCCGTGTGTGCACCTGCGTGTGTTCACTCGTGTGTGCATGTCTGTGAGCCTCGGTGACAGTCACAGGTGTGAGAGTGGCATGCGCACATCTGAGCATTGGAAGAGCTGCATGTGTGTGCCCATGTGCCTTCTGCGCACCCCCCAGGAGGGTAAACATGAGACGGAGACAGACAGAAGGCCCCACCCTGCTAGCACAGGTCACAGGGGTCAGGAAGGATCCACATTGCATCACAGCACCCCCAGCGTTCACTGACAAGGCAACCATGAGACCCGCCGTAGGGACCTCATACCTGCCTCATCCCAGCACTGTGGAGGAACAGGAATTTGGAAAAATAAAATAAAAACAAAAATCTGTGCTTCCTCCCTCCCTCCACTGAGGCTGCTTCTGGGACTCTGCCTGCACTAACTGGCCCCAGAATCCCAGCTCATCAATGCTAGAAGGCCCTTGGACATCTGTCATTGTGCAGTAAGACTTGAGGCCCAGAGAGGTCAGGGACTTGCCCAAGTTCACACAGGTGCCGGCTGCAGAGAGGGACCTGTCCCAGGTCTGTCTGTCTCAGCGAGGGCTGGCTTCTCCCTCCACACCTAGGGCTCCAACCCAATAGGTGGTTCAGACTGCTGAGACCTCGATCTGCAGTCTGAACCAATGAATAAATGGACATTTATAAAGAAAGCACTTTGTAAACAGCTACTCTTAGTTCAAATCAAAGCATTATACTTGTCACCCTGGTATCTGTCAAAGGAAGAGACTCCTGCTCCTTGAGCCGGTGCTGCGCCAGGGGCTTTCCCAGGCAGCATACCTCTGAGCTCCTTCCAGTCCTGATATCGTTATGGTCCTCATTCTCCAGGTGAGCAATGTGAGGCTCAGAGAAGAGAAACAGAAAGCCCGGAGGCTTGAGTGGGTCAGACACCCATCAGGAGCTTGGCATGAGTATGACAGCTCCTTGACGCAAAGTCTAGGGGGCATGAGTGCTGGGGCCATTGCAGGCACCAGGACCCAAGCCTAGGGGAGAGGAAGCTGGAAGCTGAGAAGCTGGAGCGCTCTAGAGGGCAGGTATGCATGAGACCTGACTTGCAGGCAGGAGGTCCTGCAGCCACCAGAGGCCTGGATGGGGTGAGGAAGAGGCCAAGAGAAAAGAGGCTGAAGGATTTATGGCCACCCAGCCCACACCCTGCTACACCACCCTGCCCAGCTCTCAGCTGTCCTGGGTCTCAGCTCAGGAGTCTCCTCTAAGGGATGCCCTCCTGACCCTCCAGACTACATCCATTTATCATATCACCCATTTTATTTCCTTCATAGCATTTATCACTATCATATTGCTGGTGCCCAAAACAGTGCCCACTACAAAGTGGATTTTTCTTTGGTGTGTGTTTGTATAGTTTGTTTGTTTGTTTTTAGCCATTCAGATTGCATTTATTTGTAACAATACGCATGCAGCCCTCCCTCTGGTCTTCCAGTCCCTGTCCCTCCCAGGGCAGCGCCCTTTCCTGAACACTCCTGTCTACCCTCGGAGTTGCTGACTTTTAGAAATCATAATGAGGCCGGATGCAGTGGCTCATGCCTGTAATCCCAGCACTTTGGGAGGCCGAGGTGGGTGGATCACCTGAGGTCAGGAGTTCAAGACCAGGCTGGCCAACATGGTGAAACCCCGTCTCTACTAAAAATACAAAAATTAGTCAGGCATGATGGTGGGTGCCTGTAATCCCAGCTACTTGGGAGGCTGAGGTGGGAGAATCCCTTGAACCTGGGAGACGGTGGTTGCAGTGAGCCCAGATCACGCCACTGCACCCGGGCAAGATCAGCCTGGGTGGCTGAGCAAGACTCTGTCTCAAAAAGAAAAAAAGAAAGAAAAAAAAAGAAATAACAATGAGCACCCATTTTTCTGTTACTAGCTTTCCTACTCACCTTTGAAAAAGGCAAAAACCTCAACAATGCATAAACCACACATAAGAAGGCAAATTCACAAGGAAAAATGACCAACCTCATCCATTATTTAAAAATGGCAAATAGGCCAGGCATGGTGCTTCATGCCTATAATCTCAGCACTTCAGGAGGCCAAGGCAGGTGGATCACTTGAGCCCAGGAGTTTGAGACCAGCCTGAGCAACACAGCAAAACCCCGTCTCTACAAAAAATACAAAAATTGTTTTTGTTTTCAAGACAGGGTTTCTCTCTGTCACCCAGGCTGGAGTGCAGTGGTGTGATCATAGCTCACTGCAGCCTCAACCTCCTGGGTTCAAATGATCCTCCCAACTCAGCCTCCCAAAGTGTTGGGAGGACATTTATAAAGTCCACTGCACTCAGTTGAAGATATTTGTTGAATGAATGGATGTGCTGCCTCTGTTTAAACTCTGCTGAAATAGAGCACCCAGTGTAGGGAGGCAAACAGTCCATTCCACTTCAGAAAGCAGTGTCCAGTAGTGTAAGGTAGGGACATCTCAGCCCACCTGGAGAATAGGGAAGGCTGCCCAGGAGGCGAAGCTTGAACAGGTCTTTGCTGATCTCCTCAGTGCTAATGAAGGCACAGTCTCTCAGGGCTCTCCCATGAGATCACTGCCTTAAGCCCTCAATCCCACCCAATCCTGCTCTACTGGGATCTATTCACTGGCCCCTTCTCTCCTGGATCTTCAGCCTTTATGTCCCTGTTACCTCCTTCCTTCCCATCAGCATTTGAACAGGCTCCTGTCCTTCCCACTGCTACAGACTGAATGTCTGCATCCCCCCAGAATTCTTATGTTGAAACCTAACCCCCAATGTGAAGCATTAGAGGGTGGCACCTTTGTGAGGTGATTAGGCCATGAGGGTAGAGCCTTCATGAATGGACATTAGTGCCCTTATAAGATACATCCGAGAGTTCCCTCATCTCTGCCACCATGTGAGGACACGAGAAGGTGCTATCTTTGAACCAAGCAGCAGGACCTCTCAACACCAAATCTGCCGGTGCCTTGATCTTGGACTTCCCAGCCTCCAGAACTGTAAGAAGCAAATTTCTATTTATAGCTACCCAGTCTATGGTATTTTGTTATAGCAGCCTTAACAGACTGAGACACTCGTCTTAAATCTTTCTGGATTCTATCCCCTGAGTGGAAGTCAAAAAAGGAGTCTGGGCTCCTCCCTCCCCACCAACCCCCACAAGCAAATCCTTCAGATGCTGCGATGGACCCTCCTGATGGCCCTACCTTCTGACTTGCCTTTCCTGATGCCCAGCACTTCTGCTGTCTGCTCCCTTCTGTGTCCCCTGCATTTAGTCCTGGGCCTGTCACACCACATATGGAACTAAGGGCCTGATGGAAGCTGAGACCCTAAAGGGCTGGGCTGGGGGCACCATGAAGGGGTTGGCCATGGTAGGGGACAGGCTGCATCATTCAGCTTTCGCTTCAGGTCTAGCCCAGTTTGAAGGTTCTCTCTTCCCTCCCTGTCATCTCCCACACCTGCCCAGGCAGGTGACAAAGCAGTCCCCAGATCCCAGGCCACCAGCCCCAGAACCAGGCCAGAGTCCCAGAGTCAGGCCCAGCTTCAAAATGGCGCCAGGCCTCATCCAAAGCATCAGGCCTTTGCAGAGGGCCCTGGGGTACACTCGGGGGCATTTCCTGTCTGAGCCTGCGGCCCCCAACCGCTGGCAGCATGGGCTTCCGGCGGGGCTGCGGCCGGGGCCTGCACTATCAGCTCGGCACCAGACGCCCGGTCAGGATACTTGTGGTGAAACTGTGAGGGCGCACTGGGTCCTTTGGGGTTTTCTCCCATGACAGCCTCCAAGACAAATGGAAGAGAGAAAGTGACACCCAGCCCTTCTTCAGCCGTGTTTTCCCCTCCCTGAGCCAGGGTCCAGGTTCAAGGCTGGGGGACTGCCATGAGGCCACCTATGACTACAGGGACATCCCAAAGCTGCAGCCATGGAAGCAGCCAGGGCCAGGCCACTAGGGTCAGGCATCTTGGCCAAGGCTGGACAAAAGGCACTGTGGCCTGGGGATCTGAATGGGAGTGGGAGTGGGTGGGCCACTCCTATACGGCCACATGAGGGCCACAGAGAAAGTACGCTGGGTCTGAGACTGAGAGGTGTCAGGTGTCTGGGGCATGTCACCTTGCGCCAAGGGATGCCCAGCCTGAACCTGGCTTTACACCTAGGGCCCCACTTCACCTCCTCCCTGAGATTTACAAGGGGGAAACTGAGGCCCTGTTTACTACTGGGGAAACCGAGGATCAGGGAAGCGCAGGGCTGCGCGTGGCGTAGGGCGCTCTGTCCCAGCAACCAAAGGATGTAAGCCCGTAGGTGGGGAGGGCAGCACCGGATGCCCCACTGGGCCCAGGGATGCACCCACCACAGGATGCTGGGGGAGCCACCGGCCTTGGCCAGCCCAGCTAGCCCTGTGGCTTTCCAGGGCAGCTGAGAGCCCAGGTCCCCATGGCTAAGCCCCTCAGCAGCCCAGTGGTCCTGAGCCCGCCGACCCCAGACCCAGTCCTAGTCCGGCCAGAGGAGGCCGTTTACGAGCCCACACCCGTAGGTGGCGCCACAGCCGGAGAATTGGCTTTGGTTCTGTTGGAGCCGCGCCGCCTTTAAATTAGCCCCACGCATGCGCGACTTTTCTAGCCCGAGCCCGCCGTCTGCGCCTGCGATTTCGCCCATACTCCCCGGTGCCCGCCTCGTGACGTGCCGCAGTGTTACGAAGGGACACCAGGGCGCAGGCGCAGCTCGCTCCTCAGGCCTGCGAGAGGCCCGCCGGCCCAGCAGAGGGCGCCCACCAATCTGCACGCGGGCCCAGCGAGTTATCTTGATTTCGGCCAAGCTTTCTGACTGCTCCAAAAAACGAAGAAAAAGATTCAGGGAGAGTAAGAGGATGAAGAGAGCTGGTGAAGCAGCTGACCAAATGGCCCGAGGTGGTATGCAGCCGCGGTAAAGCAGGGCCCCTCCGTGAGGCACAGCCGCCCGGGGGTTCCCTAGGGGAAGCAGGGGCTGCGGCAGACGCCTCTCGGGCAGGTCAGGGTATGCACCCTCCCGCAGGGGCTCCCAAGGCCGGGCGTGCGTGAGGCCAGGTCCACGGGCACACCACTGTGAACACTGATTAAACGTGGCCTCCACGGCTTCCAACCCCCAGGACAGGACCAACCCTCTGCCCCCGGCTCAGGCCAGAGCTCGGCGAGACCGTCGCTGTTTAACAAGCATTTGCTATACGCCACCTTGCATTATGACAGCATGTGACCCACACAGCCATCCTAGGAAGCAGGTAACAGCCCTACTCCATTTTGCACGGAAAGACTTGCCTGAGGTCACAGAGAGCGGCAGGCCTGGGATTTCCATCCAGGGATCCGACTGCAGAGCACGACTCTGGAGGGTCTTCCTTCTTGCTCCTCCCATCCTTCCACTGTCCTTGGATCCCCCATTTTCCCCCTGCACAATCTCCTAATCCCTATGTTCAACTTCTCATTTTCAACTGGATCTTTCCCAATGGCATTCAACACACTTGGTGTCCCCAACCTTAGAGTAGAACATTCAAGCAGCACAGCCTCCTGAAGGCCCTCACTCATCCCTTTCCCAGCCTGTTTGCGAAATGCTTTGTCAGGACTCAAAGTTAAGTCTCACTTCCGTCCAATTCCCATCCCCACACCAACACAGTTCTCAAGTCACCAATGGGTAAAAGGCTTCAGTGATCCACTCCTACAGCCAAAAGGCACTGCTCGGTCTCTTCAGCCTCAGATGGTTCACTCCTGGAAACATTTTTCCACTTGGCTTCATGACACCACAGTCCTGGTCTTTCTCGTCCCAGGTAAGGAGAGTCCTGGTCTTTGTCAACCCAGGTGGCCACTATTACTTTGTCGTCTTAATATTCAGTTCTGGATCTCTTCTTATTCTATACCCTTCCTAGGCACTGTCCCCTCCCACAGCCTCCTTCTCACCTTTTCCATAACCATGTCTAGGCCCGGCAGCCCCACATTTACCACTTGCACACCAGACCTTATAATTCCAGGCCTGAATATCCACCTGCCCAGGGACACTCCCACTTGGATGTCCCGAGCACCTCCATTTTGCCATGTCTGAAACAGAATTCAGCATCAGTTCCTCACAACTGGTCTTCTACAGACTTCCCCAGTAATCCCTCAACCCACCTGCCAATATTTAAGCTGTTTGTAAGCCACTCATGCAAACATTCAATAACCCAACTACGTGTCATAGATTGGTCTGAACACCTAGCTGTTAACATAAAGATGAGCATAAAAGACAAAACCCCTGCCCTATTGAAGCTAGTTCAGTAATCACACACATTCCAACCGTGGTATATGAGGTGGAGAAGAGGTACAAAGGAAAACGAGAGGGTACCACAGGACTTGACTGAGTGTGGCAGGCCACGGATGGCTCCCTGACACAGTAACCTTAAGTAACACATCCTGAGGCTGAGCAGGAATTCATTAGGTGGAGACAGGGAGCGAACTCCTGCAGAGAGGAAAGAGGGGCAGAAAGCCTGGCACTCACTGGCACTGTCGATTCCCCACATGACCTTTCAATCCCTTGCCTCTTGAGAGGAACCATCTCTGCTTTGCTCATCACTGTTTCCTTGATGCTGAGTAAAACATGACTCACAGGAAGGATGCAAAAACTACAAAAATGGAGGCCTCACTCCACTACTCCATTCTGTGACATAAGCCACGTCAACTCTTTCAACACTCTGGCACCACTTTCAACACTCTGGTACTAGAATAACTCAGTGTTCTAATATGTAAAATGTAAATGCTTGCCTTGCAAACCTGCTGAGAAGCAAATCCATTATTTAATGAATAAAAAGCACTTGATAAAAGCACTATTCCCAAAATTAAGAATTAAATTATGAGAGATCTTCAACAGACCAAAAACAAATGTTCACAGTCCCTGCTTTATTTCCATTTGTTCACACACGCTTTAAAAAAAAAAAAAAAAACACATGCACTCACACAATACCCAAACATCAGAATTAGAAGGGCATAAAACAGGGGGCTTTATAGGCTGAAAAATATCTTAGACTTCAGAACAGAATACCAATCAAATATTGAAAATTCCTTTGTTCAAAACACAAAGATGTTTTGTTTTTAATGGGAGTTTTTTTAAAGTTTTCTTTTTTTAAAAAAAAAAAAAAAGAAAGTTAAGGACAAACGGCAAACTCACACTGCCTGACGCAGGGCCTGGTTTCTCTTCCTTGAAGGCCTTTTACAGATGTCAGCTTTCACTGGCCTCCATGCACAACCTCCCACTACCACCCAATCTGCCTGCCACAGCAAAGTGCAGGCACCCTGGGCCCCCTGGAGGATGCGGGCAGGGGCTACAGGGCATCCAGGATGTGGTCGATCTTGGTGACCAGCTCCTGGCGCTTTCCTGAGATGAGCTTCTCATTCTCAATGTACGTGTCTTTCTTGAGCTTGCCAGCCACCAGGCGCTCAGCCTCCACCGCCGACTTCAGCACCAGCTCCTTGACCTGTGCATCCAGCTTCTGCATTTCGCTCACCTGGCCGAGGCAAGAGCAGGGCAGGACTTGTGAGCTGTCCTCCCACCCCACTCAGCAGGCCCCACCATCTCCCAGGCCTACAGACCCCAGAGCTCCACAGGTATCAGCCACAAATGCAGCCAACAGCACAGTGTCCCAGGGCAGCAGGGCTGGCTATGGAGGAAGATAGGCCTGGCTTCAAATGCCAACTTCACCACCCACAAGCCCCGTTCTTACGCCCTTGTGAACAAGCCCTGCACCATCCCTGGGCCTCATCTCCATTCTAGGACTCTGAGGACTGAGTATGAAACTACTTGGCAGCACCTATCATGCCCCTGGCACATAGCAGCTCCTCTATGAACATCACTTCTCTCCTTGCAGCTTGTCAAATCAGTTCCAGGGATTCAATTAGGCAAAAGATCAATGGCAAGGGAAGGGGGGGTGACAGGCATTGTCACCTACTGTACGTCACATTGAGGACTGGTATAGTCACATTCATTCAACATTCAACAAATGTTTAGTGAGCCATGGCGCGCGGCACAATTCTAGGTTCCAGAAAACAGCACTAAGGACAGATAAGGGATCTTGTCCACAGATGCTGACATATAATTAACACTTAAGTAGAAGAATAAATCGTTTCAGAAAGTGGTAGGCGTGGGCCAGACACGGTGGCTCACATCTGTAATTCCAGTACTTTGGAGGCCAAGGCAGGCAGAACACTTGGGCTCAGGAGTTCAAGACCAGCCTGGGCAACATGGCGAAACCCCATCTCTACAAAAAATTAGCCAGGCATGGTGGTGTGCACCTGTGATCCCAGCTACTTGAGGTGGAAGGATCGCTTGAGCCTGGAGGTGGGGCTTGCAGTGAGCAGAGATTGCGCCACTACACTCCAGCATGGGCGACAGAGTGAAACCCTGTCTCAAAAACAAACAACAAAAAAAGTGGTAGGTGCTATGAGGAAATTCACACAGAGTGAGGAGAGGGAATGCCAGGGAGTGGACAGGGGAGTCAGTGACTCTGAGGGGCACCTCTGCGAAAAGGTTACTGTCCTCATTTACAGATAACTCCTTTACATAGCTTGTATCAGGACAGGGTTCTGAATATTTTGCATGCATTAACTCATTTCACACTCAG
Source organism: Homo sapiens (assembly GCF_000001405.40). NCBI lineage: Eukaryota > Metazoa > Chordata > Mammalia > Primates > Hominidae > Homo > Homo sapiens. The sequence continues at coordinate 128,621,707 of NC_000003.12, forward strand.
AACCCCTATGAGGGGCTAACAGCATTCCCATTTTATAGATGAGGAAACTGAGGCACAGAAGTTAGGTGACTTGGCCAGGTTTACAAACTCTGAATCAGAGCCTGGATTCAAACCTATTGATTCTAAAGTCTAGGTTCATTTTACCACAACATAAGCAGCCTGGGACCTAGAACAGTCTGGCCTCCAGGAGAGGATGCAGCTACTCTCAATACTGGCCACAAGGGCACGCAGTGCTGACGAGGCTAGCAGAGCTTCCTCCACACCCAGCTCACACCAGGACCCCAAAAATCCCTTTTTCCTCCACAAGGACTGGCACCACATGAAAAGTTATGGCCAGATGCAGTCTTATCCCACAAGCATGCAGGTAAGCAAGAGAGCTGCCCAGTGTCTGCCCTAGACAAAGCAGTGAGGCATGGAGGGCCCCAAGCCAAGCAACTCTGTGACGCCCGACACTTACTCTGTCGCACAGATCAGAGCCCTCTGTCTTCAGCCTGGACTGCAGCAGTGCAATCTCACTGGTCAAGGCCTTGTGTTCAGTCTCCAGGCTCTTCTTGCCACTGTTGAGGGTGGAGATGTCCCGGGATTGCTTGTACCTATTGACGGTCTCGTCAAAGTGACGGTAAAGGCCTATTCTCTTGTTGACCAGGGTCAAGACCTGCTCTGTGATGCAGGCTACCTTCATCCTGGCTTCTGCGGCTGGATCCTGAAGGAAGGAGAGGCACCATGTGTGACAACATCCAGGCTTGGGTCCACTCTGACCTTATCTCCCAAAGAACATCTGCCACCAGCAGCCATCCAAAAATGAAATGCCACCTTCTTGGAAAGTCAAAGTCAAACCCCTACTGATACCTAATCTGGACCAGGTTCAGCAATGGGCAAAACTAGGGCCATAAAGATGAGCAGACCAGCCGGGCCTGGTGGCTCACGCCTGTAATCCCAGCACTTTGGGAGGCCAAGGTGGGCAGATCACGAGGTCAGGAGTTCAAGACCAGCCTGACCAATATGGTGACATCCCATCTCTACTAAAAATAGAAAAAAAAATTAGCCGGGCATGGTGGCAGGCACCTGTAATCTCAGCTACTCAGGAGGCTGAGGCAGGAGAATCACCTGAACCCAGGAGGCGGAGGTTGCAGTGAGCCGAGATCGCACCACTGCACTCCAGCCTGGGCGACAGAGCGAAACTCCATCTCAAAAAAAAAAAAAAAAAGATGAAGCAGACATTTCACTTCACAGTCCAGTAAGGCAGACAGATAGATGTGAACAAGGATGATAATGTCAGTGTGCCCTGCATATATATTACAGCAGTCTTGCCCATTTAATCAGCAGGAAACATTAGATAAACCAAAATTAAGGGACATTCTATAAAACTGGTCTCTACAACACCACAAATGTCAAGGTTATTAAACACAAAGAAAGGACCAGGAATGGTGGGTCACACCTATAATCCCCACACTTTGGGCAGCTGAGGCAGGAGGATCACTTGAGGTCAGGCGTTCAAGACCAGCCTGGGTAACATAATGAGACTCCGTCTCTACAAAAAAATATTTTGGCCAGGTGCAGTGGCTCACACCTGTAATCCCAACATTGTAGAAGGCCGAGGCAGGCAGATTGCTTGAGTCCAGGAGTTCGAGACCAGCCTAGCCAACATGGCAAAACCCCATCTCTAATAAAAATACAGAAAATTAGCCGGGCATGGTGGTGCATGCTTGTAGTCCCAGCTACTCAGGGAGCTGAGATGGTAGGATCTCTTTAGCCCAGGAGGTCGAGGCTGCAGTGAGCCCTGATCGTGCCACTGCACTCCAGCCTGGGTAACAGAGTGAGACTCTGTCTCGAGAAAAAAAACATTTTTTTAATTAGCTGGGCATGATGGTATGCTCCTGTAGTCCCAAACTACTTGGGAGGATGAGGTGGGAGGATGGCTTGAGCCCAGGAGTTTGAGGCTGCAGTGAGCTGTGATTGATCGGGGGACAGTCAGCAAAATTATGGACTGGATGTTGGTCAACAGTACTAATTAACTGGCCAGTTAATAGTATTAACTAACTAATGGACAATTACATTACCCATTCTTTGAGGAAGAAGGCACAGAAGGCAGAACACACCACAAAGTTCTGAACGTGCTGTTCTACCAGATTTTTGGCAACATTACATTTCCTGAATTTGATCATTGTATTATGATTATGTAAGAGAATACCCTTGCTCTCAGGCTACACACATGCTCAACTATTCAAGGGTAAAGGGGCACAACGTCTGCAACTTAACCTCCAATGATTCAGCAGAAATAATTACACACACACACACGCACACACACACACACACAGTTATTCCTCGAGCCCCCGCCCCCCCGCATCTCCGACTATCTGCACATACTCAAGTCCTGTAGTCAGCCCTGTGAAACCCAAGTATACAAAAAGTCAGCCCTCCACATATTTGGTTTCAGTTCCCTCAAACACTGTATTGAGTACTGTATTTCCTATCTGCATTTGATTATAAAAATCTGACCAGGCACGGTGTCTCATGCCTGTAATCCCAGCACTTTGGGAGGCCGAGGCGGGTGGATCACGAGGTCAGGAGATTGAGACCATCCTAACACGGTGAAACCCCGTCTCTACTAAAAATACAAAAAATTAGCCGGGCGTGGTGGCACGTACCTGTAGTCCCAGCTATTCGAGAGGCCAAGGCAGGAGAATTGCTCGAACCCAGGAGGCGGAGGTTGCAGCAAGCTGAGAGCGCACCACTGCACTCCAGCCTGGGCAACAGAGCAAGACTCCGTCTCAGGAAAAAAAAAAAAGAAAACGAAAAGAAAAAAATCTGCATATAAGTGGACCCACACAGTTCGGCTGGATCAACATCTTTGCTCACAGGTCCTACCAAAACCCCTCCCTGCTGTCTCACAAACATCAGCCCCTCCAACTGAATGCCCTTCCCCACCTTCTTTGCCTGTCACCTCCTCAGGGTAGCCTTGGGGCCTCCCAAGTTGCCCCACTAGAAGCACACCCTTGGTGCGCACCTGTGGTCCCAGCTACACAGGAGGCTGAGGCAGAATCGCTCGAACCCGGGAGGCAGAGGTTGCAGTGAATGGAGATCGCGCCACTGCACTCCAGCATGGCAACAGAGCGAGACTCCATCTCAAAAAAAAAAACACACGCTGTGCCTGTCATCACATTCCACAGTCCTCAAGCACCAGCTGTGCTCATCTCCTCCACCAGGCCTCACCCACCTGACTACAATAAGTGCCTGGTACTAGTGCCTACCCTGGGGCATGGAGCCAAGAGCCCTAAGGAACAATGAGAGAATGAGAAATGGAGGAAGGAAGGAAGAAAAGAGCAAGAGGATGACCTGAGGATAACAGCAGTGCAGCCTGGGGAGGACCAAGGAGCCACGGAGCCTGTCAGGGAGCAGAGAGTGGGAGTGGGGAGAACGGTGCTGACAGGGCCAGGTCAGTGGTTTCTGCTCCCAACAAGGAATCACCAAGGGGGAGGTGGGGAGGGAGAGGGGACTAAGAGGGGACTTCCACCTCCAAGTTCCACTGAATAACAAGAAGCAAAACAGCTAAATAAGCACCAATCTTTTCATGTTTTTCCTACCTCAACTGAGCATCCAAGTTACTCTGTCTCCAGAGCCAAAGCAAGACAGAAGCAGGGACTTAACCTCCTGTGCTAGTGACCACAAGCAACAAAAACAAAGTACCCTTCCGGCAAGGATGAGCACAGGCAGGGGTCTTTTGGCCATGGCGTCCTGCCCTGGGCTCACTGTGAGGATCAGTGCTCAAGCTGGTGAAATATTACCAAGGACACAAATGACAAGCAGGAAGAAGGCAGAGACGGTACCTTGGTGATGGAGAAGTCCAGCCGAACATAGATGATAACGGTGAAGAACAGGATGTAGAAGGCCGCCACCACCAGCAGGGGCTCCTGCAGCATGAGCACCTTGTTGAACGTGTAGTGGACCTGGGAGAAGCAAGAGGACAGGCTTCATCGGGGCTGTAGGGACATGGGAGCCTAGACTCACCCAGGCTGGCCCACTCGACCTGCTGCCCCACCCCAAGACCAGAAGACGCCATGAGCTCAAATGACTCCAGCCCAAGGAGGGACAGAAGGTGAGTTCTTGGCCCCCAGAGCCCACTGTCTGGGGAAGACGCCATGGAAGGCAAACAGTGGAGCCACTCACCACAATGTCCTGAATGTGCTGTTCTACCAGATTTTTCTTGTAGGCAACAATCACAGGGCGGCCAAATGTGTCCAGATAGGTGTAGTGCAGCTCATCTGGGGCACGGCTGATTTCATAGGGACTATCAATTTCAATGTTCCTGGAAGAAGATGGGAATAAAATATAGCCTCCAACCAACTACATCAATAAACCAGATTTAGGATCAGAGAATTCCAAGGCTAAGGAGCCTTTCAAGATCACTAAATTCACACTCCTCCACTCTGCTCCCTTCTCAGCTATGGAGAACACCCACTCTCTTGAGACAGGGGAGCCAGTGCCAGAAAGCCCTTTGTTTTAAAGCCCTTGTCTGCTGGGGCAACAACTGTCCCTCTGAATCCTCCACTCCCAAGTTCTCACCAGTACTGGCCCCACTCCTTGGAGTCACAAAGTTGACACAGCTCTCCTGTACATCCTACCCAGTGAATCCCTGGGAGGCTTGAACAGATGCCTCACGAGCTGTTCTGAATGTTCTTTCTCTTCACATGAATAAGAGCTTCTTACGGGGCAGGGGACATGTCCTGCTTTTGTCTGCCCAGGCCCACTGTCCCTTCTCCTGGTAAACAGCACAGCCTGGATTTGCATGAGGAACTACTCTTCCACTATGGAACATTCTCCACAGGAAGAAAATCAAGGGGTCTCTCATTCTGGCAGTCAGAGTGGACATGTGACTCAAGAGAGGCCAAGTAGATGTTCCCTGATAAAGTAAATCTAGAGAAAAGTGACACAAAGACTGTGCCCCTAGAACATAGGCTCTCCTTAGGGTACCACAAGGGTACAACCAGAGAAATCGGGTGCAAAGGAGAGGAACAGTCACACTCACTTGGCTCCTTCAGGCAGGATGATCTTCACAGTCAGAGAATCTATCACTTGTTCATCAAACACATGGTCCACAAACCTCATCTTCAGTGCATACTGGTCACCTGAAGGATCAAGCAAGCATAAGCAATGATGTGGAAAACGGATCAAATGGGCAGGAGAGAAAGAAGTACAGGGGCTCACATAAAGACAGAGCAAGTAGACAGCAAAACCAAAAACCCACGGACCATGTTTACAACAAAACCAGGCAACAAAGTATCTCTACTGAACCCCACAACACAGAGACAGGGATGGGGGTCAAAACACCGACAGCCACAAGACCTTCACGTTATCAGTGTCTGTGAAGGAGAACGCAGAGAGAAGAAACAGGGCAACTGATGGGCTTGAGAACAGCAGAACCCCAAAACACACAACCGGGATTCCCTAGAGAGCACAGCAGGCCAGTGTGAGGAGTGGCTGAAACTCGGAGCAGTTGTGCCCTGCCTAATGGTGAGTGAAACGGGCCTGCAGAAGGTCTACGAGTCTGCAGCAGTCTAGTCCCTGAGAGCAGAACTCCCCTTCTGGGACAGTGCCCTACAGTGAGGAGAAACTGCTCAACACAATCAAAAATGAACATGATAGGGACAATGGAACTCAAAAACCGCACAGAGGAAAGCTCAGAAAGCAAGCCACATGTTTTTGCACTAAAATAGCAGAGATCTGGGAAGGTACAAAAGCCACTCTAAACCATCCCTCCTTCGGAAAGGTCACATTAAAAATGATCAACAGACAGTGGCTCATGCCTGTAATCCCAGTACTTTGGGAGGCAGAGGCAGGCAGATCACCTGAGGTCAGGAGTTCAAGACCAGCCTGGCCAACATGGTGAAACCCCATCTCTACTAAAACTATAAAAATTAGTCAGGTGTGGTGGCACATGCCTGTAATCCCAGCAACTTGGGAAGCTGAGGTAAGAAAATCACTGGAACCCAGGAGGTGGAGGTTGCAGTAAGCTGAGATTGTGCCACCGTACTCCAGCCTGGGAAACAGTGCAAGACTCCATCTCAAAAAAAAAAAAAAAAAAGATTAAGTTATATAAGAAAAATGGGATGAAAACAAGAACACCCCTGTAAGAAAATGAAAACATGCCAGCAAGACGCCCATAAAAACGAACCAGGAGACTGCTCCTGCTATTCCAAAACAAGCTAAAGGTATTAATAAAATCATGTAAGTCATGCAAGAACAATGTAAACAATAATTAGAAAAATTCAGGCCGGGCGCGGTGGCTCACTCCTGTAATCCCAGCACTTTGGAAGGCTGAGGTGGGTGGATCACCTGAGGTCAGGAGTTCGAGACCAGCCTGGCCAACATAGTGAAACCCCATCTCTACTAAAAATAAAAAATTAGCTGGGCGTAGTGGTGCATGCCTGTAGTCCCAGCTACTCCAGAAGCTGAGGCAGGAGAATCTCTTGAACCCAGGAGGCGGAGGTTGCAATGAGCTGAGATCGCGCCAATGCACTCCAGCCTGGGAGGTTACAGTGAACTGAGATCGCTCCACTGCACTCCAGCCTGGGCAACAAAGTGAGACAGAAAAAAAAAAAAGAAAAATTCAGAAAAATGATAGAAATCAGGAAAAAAATTTAGAAATAAAAGAGGCATTTTAGGAATTAAGGCTAATTAAGATGGATTAGAGTGAATAACAACAAATAATAATGCTTTAACATAAATGCAAAGAAAAGCAACTTTAATTATTTTTTAGAGACAGGGTCTTGCTCTGTCACCCAGGCTAAAGGGCAACTTCCTGGACTCAAGTGTTACTCCTGCCTCAGCCTCCCGAGTAGCTGAGACTACAGGTGTGAGCCAGATAATTTTTCATTTTTAAAAATTTTTTTGTAGAGACCCGTTTTCACCATGTTGCCCCGGCTGGTCTCAAACTCCTGAGTGCAAGCAATCCTCCCACCTCAGCCTCCCAGAAAAGTTTTAAATGAAAAAACAGGCCTGGCACAGTGGCTTACACCTATAATCCCAGCACTTTAGGAGGCCAAGGCGAGCAGATCACTTGAGGTCAGGAGTTCAAAACCTGCCTGACCAACGTAGTTAAACCCCATCTCTACTAAAAATACAAAAAATAACCAGGCATGATGGCGGGTGCCTGTAGTCTCAGCTACTCGGGAGGCTGAGGCAAGAGAATCGCTTGAACCTAGGAGGCAGAGGTTGCAGTGAGTGAAGATCAAGCCAAGAAAAACAGATGTAGGTATTAACTGCAGATTAATAGATAAGGCAAATTGAATAGATTGAAAAGGGCAAAACTAAGGTATAGTATGTAGAGATATACACTTGGGTGATAAAACTACAAAGATATTCAAGAAAGTGATTACTCAAAGTCGGGGCAATGACTTTGAGAAGGAAGAGGTACATGGAACACTTTTTGAGTAGCTAGCAAATTTTGATTTCTTGACAGGAGGGGGTGGGGAGCGGCACAAGGTCTTCCTCATAATAATTCACTGAGCTATACATTTTTTGTATGGTTTTCTGTATCTTATTTTTCAGTAAAAAGGTTTAAAAAAAAGACTTGGCCGGGCATGGTGGCTGTCACCTATAATCCTAGCACTTTGGGAGGCCGAGGCCTGTGGATCACCTGAGGTCAGGAGTTCAAGACCAACCTGGCCAACATGGTGAAACCCCATCTCTACTAGAAATACAAAAAATTAGCTGAGCGTGGTGGCGGGCACCTATAATCCCAGCTACTCAGGAGGCTGAGGCAGGAGAATCGCTTGAACCAGGAGGTGGAGGTTGCAGTGAGCCAAAATCGCACCATTCCACTCCAGCCTGGGTGGCAAGAGTGAGATTCCGTCTCAAAAAAAAGAAAGACTTGAAAGAAAATATGACAAAATGTTTTCAATCATTAGTTCTGGGTGTTCATATAAAAGTGTTTTTTATTATTCTCTGAATTTTCATTTTTTAAATAACTCAAAAACTATTTAAAGGAATTTCAGCGGTTCCATCTGATGACAGAACTGCAAGTAAGAAGAAGACTTTTACATACTGTTCGGATTGACTATCAAATGCATGTATTACTTTTACAATACTAACTCGTACCCACTTATAAAAAGTTGTTCCTGATAAAACCAGCCTTCCTCAGAATGACAAATGAACACACCCCATCTATAAAGACTGATAATTGAAAGAAAAAAATTCACGAAATTAAAGAAAAGGTTAGTTTCTCCCTTACTATTGAAGACTGACCCAAATTATAGAGGTACTCATAGCTTGGGAGGTTGTAGCCAACGATGTAATGGGTCTTCCACCCGCCAAAGAGAGGGAAGCGAGGCCGGATTTCCATCTCTACAGAGTCATCCAAAATAAGGAGGTGGCTGGTAGAAACATTGCCAATCTCATCCCGGTAATAAACATCCTGGGCAGCAGCAGGAAGGATGGTCTGCAAGAGAGTGGATATGCCCTTCTAAAACTCCAGGAACCAGCTGAGAGGAAATGATCCTAAACACAGAAGACTTCCTGCACCAAGATCCTCACATGGTACTACTTAATTAAAATAGTCCCCAAACATAAACAACCTAAAAAAGTCTAACTTTCCCCACAAAGGTTTGCGTCGACTTCTCAATCAAGGGTGCTAACTACCCAAATTCTTCTAAACAGTAAATAATTAAGGGAAATGCAAATACCTTTGTGAACATTGAAGACTTAATACAAAGGTAAAAATAATCTTGCAAGTTATTTTGCAGAGAAGAAAAGTAAAGATAGAAGACGGAAGAAATTTCATCAAATTACTAGGTGGTAGGGTTACAGAAAGGGTTTTTCTACCTGATATACTTTATTGTATCTTCCAAATCTGTCAGTGTATTTTGATCATGGGAGGAAGGTATAATACCTTTGTTCACATACTGACCCCTTCTATCATACATAAGTAAAAAAAAAAGTTTATAAGATTTCATTTATGGGACAAAAAAGATTTAAAAACTGTATATGCAATATGATAAAATGTTTTTTAAAAACACTACAAAAGAACAAAGAAATAGATCAAAATGACAGCTGTGTTTGGGTGGCGCAGTACTATGAATATGCTTTTCCTTTTTCTATTCAAATTTTCACTTAAAAAATATGGTTTAGGCCGGGCACGGTGGCTCACGCCTGTAATCCCAGCACTTTGGGAGGCCGAGGCGGGCGGATCACAAGGTCAGAAGATCGAGACCATCCTGGCTAACATGGTGAAACCCCGTCTCTACTAAAAACACAAAAAATTAGCTGGGCATGGTGGCGGGCGCCTGTAGTCCCAGCTACTCGGGAGGCTGAGGCAGGAGAATAGCATGAACCCGGGAGGCAGAGCTTGCCGTGAGCCGAGATCGTGCCACTACACTCCAGCCTGGGCAATAGAGCGAGACTCTGTCTCCAAAAAAAAAAAAAATATATGGTTTAGGCTGGGCATGGTGGCTCACGCCTGTAATCCCAGCACTTTGAGAGGCCAAGGCGGCCGGGCGCGGTGGCTCATGCCTGTAATCCCAGCACTTTGGGAGGCCGAAGTGGGCGGATCACCTGAAGTCAGGAGTTCGAGACCAGCCTGTCCAACATGGAGAAACCCTGTCTCTACTAAAAATACAAAAAAAAATTAGCCAGGCTTGGTGGTGCATGCCTGTAATCCCAGCTACTCGGGAGGCTGAGGCGGGAGAATTGCTTGAACCTGGGAGGCGGAGGTTGTGGCGAGCCGAGATCGCGCCATTGCCCTCCAGCCTGGGCAACAAGAGCAAAACTCCGTCTCAAGAAAAAAAAAAAAAAGAAAGAGAAGCCAAGGCAGGTGGATCACTTGAGGCCAGGAGTTCAAGACCAGCCTGGCCAACATGGTGAAATCCTGTCTCTACTAAAAATACAAAAATTAGCCAGGTGTAGTGGTGCATGCGTGTAATCCCAGCTATTCAGGAGTCTGAGGCAGAAGAATCACTTGAACCCAGGAGGCGGAGGCTGCAATGAGCAGAGATCACGCCACTATGCTCCAGCCTGGGTGGCAGAGTGAGACTCTGTCTCAAAGAAAAAAAAGAAAATGGCTTATCTATATATATGGGGGGGTATTTTTTAAGATTCTGTTGGTTTCTAACACTGCCAATCAACAAGATGAACATCAGTCAACCCTAAACAACTGCCTAAATATTTAGCTAGTTTCGAAAAGCAAAGAATAGGTAGCTGTGATAAAGTCCTCATTTCTCACAATGTCCAAGTTGAACATTCCATACCTTAAAAGAACGGATGGAGGATATTCCACTATCTGGCTGTCTCTGGTAATCATAGCGTGAGAAAGGCCCCTTAAGCACAGCTCCTGTGTGCTTTAAGTCCACATTTTCTTCCACAGCAATATTACCCCAGTGAGAGACTTCAATGACTCGGGTCATGCTGGTGATGGTCAGGAAAGGGCTGTTGTTCTCATAATGTACTTTAAAAGTATCCTGGAAGGAAGGAAACAAATAGTTCAAAGTTTTGGCAACAGAGAATGCACCATTAGTTTAAATCAGATTGATTGGAGACAACCTATATATCAGCAACAGAACGGGTAAATTATGATGTATCTAACGTATGCAACATTTTAAAATTATGTTTACTAGGACTTCTTGCTAACATATGGGAATAAATATTCATGATATATTATTAACTCAAAAAATAGGACACAAAAAAATAATGTGTCTGGAGCTGATTGTATTAGGCAGTTTTGTAAGAGTTCTAAATAAGTGCATTATCTCATCTCATTCTCAAGACAATATGATGAAATAAGAACTACTTATCCCCATTTGACAAATAAAAATTTCAAGCCCTGGCAGTTTCCAATATCTTGTTCAAGGTCATAAACCTAAGTGGCAATACAAGGTCTGCTAAGTTCTGACTTCACTTTTTTTTCTTTCTTTTTGAGACAGAGTCTTGCTCTGTCACCCAGGCTGGAGTACAATGGTACAACCTCAGCTCACTGCAACCTCCGCCTCCTGGGTTCAAGCGATTCTCCTGCCTTAGCCTCCCTAGTAGCTGGGATTACAGGCGTGTGCCACCACATCTGGCTAATTTTTGTATTTTTAGTAGAGATGGGGTTTCACCATGTTGGCCAAGCTGGTCTCGAACCCCTGACCTCAGGTGATCTGCCCACCTTGGCCTACCAAAGTGCTGGGATTACAGGCATGAGCCACCGTGCCCAGCAAGCCATCGTGCCCAGCCCGATTTCACTCTTCTATGTGGTAAATACTACCTCTCAATAAGGCCCAACACACCTTGCTTCCCAAAAGTCCATGAAAAGGACAAGATCTATTTTGTTAGCTCTTACAACTAGTTTATTCGCTAGTTTATTCACTCATTCTATGACTAGATTTTTAAAACTACAATTCACTCATAATCATATTTGATAGCATTTAATGCCAGTACAAGCAAGGGCATAAGGAAACCGGCAGTTTCACACACTGGAATCCTAAAAAATTGATTAAATCTTTTGAAAAACTACTTGGCAAAATACAGCAAGAGGTTTTTCTTTTTTTTTCTTTTTTTTTTTAAATTATAAACGGTCTCACTCTGTCACCCAGGCTGGAGTACAGTGGCACAATCTTGGCTCAATGCAGTCTCAACCTCCTGGGCTCAAGCAATCCTCCCACCTCAAGCCCCATGAGTGGCTGGGATTCCAGGTGCATGCCACCACGCCCAGCTAATTTTTTGTATTTTTTGTAGACATGGAATTTCACCATGTTCCCCAAGCTGGTCTCAAGCAATCTACCCACCTTGACCTCCCAAAGTGCTGGGATTACAAGCATAAGCCACTGTGCCCAACCAGCAAGAGATTTTAAAATGTTCATATCCTTCAATTTGAAAAACATTACTTCAGAAAATCCTGAGAATACAAAAATTCATAACTTTTGTATAATATGCAGAGATGTATATTATAATATTAAATAGAAAAAAACTGTTTAACTATAGAAACTTGGCAAATAAGCTCTAGGACATCAAATCAGTGAGTCAGCCACTTAAAAACGGTTTACAGGCTGGGCACAGTGAAACTTTGGGAGGCCAAGGCGGGCAGATCACAAGGTCAGAAGTTTGAGACCAGCCTGGCCAATATGGTGAAACCCCGTCTCTACTAAAAATAGAAAAATTAGCCAGGTGTGGTGATGGGCGCCTGTAGTCCCAGATACTAAGGAGGCTGAGGTAGGAGAATCGCTTGAACCCGGGAGGCGGAGGCTGCAGTGAGCCGAGATTGTGCCACTGCACTCCAGCCTGGGCAACAGAGCGAGACTGTCTCTCAAAAAAAACAAATAAACAAACAAAAACAAAAACAACAAAACAAAAAAACTGTTTACAGGCCAGCCGGGCACAGTGGCTCACACTTGTAATCCCAGCACTTTGGGAGGCCAAAGTGGGTAGATCACTTGAGGTCAGGAGTTTGAGACCAGCCTGGCCAACATGGTGAAACCCTGTCTCTAACAAAAAATACAAAAATTAGCCAGGCATGGTCGCACATGCCTGTAAGTCCCAGCTACTGGGGAGGCTGAGGTGGGAGAATCACTTAAACTCAAGAGGCAGAGGTTGCAGTGAGCTGAGATTGCACCACTACACTCCAGCCTGGGCGAGAGTAAGACCCTGTCTTAAGGAAAAAAAAAAAAAGGTTGACAAAGGTAATGTAGTAATATGTAAAATGTTTAGAGAATATTCTAAGTGGCAAAGGTATTACACAATACTTTATACATAATATGACAATAAGCATAATAAGTACATTAAAAAGCCCTATGCTTAGACACGACTCAGGTACTAAAATGTCCATAGTGTCGATAGTGGTTGTGAACTGACCTCAAATCTTCCTTTTTGCCAAATGGTCTCCATAAACCTTTTTTTTTTTTTTTTTGAGACAAACTCTCACCCTGTCGCCCAGATTGGAGTGCAATGACGCGATCTTGGCTCACTGCAACTTCCACCTCCCAGGTTCAAGTGATTCTCCTGCCTCGGCCTCTCAAGTAGTTAGAATTACAGGTGCACGCCAGCATGCTCAGCTAATTTTTTTATCTTTAGTAGAGACGGGGTTTCACCATGTTGGCCAGGCTGGTCTCGAACTCCTGACCTCGTGATCCGCCAACCTTGGCCTCCTAAAGTGCCAGGGTTACAGACCTGAGCCACCGCACCCAGCCTCTCATGAACGTTCTATTAACTTAAAATGGAGGAAAGTGGAAAACCCCAAATATTTATATTTTTAAAAGCCTGCGTAGAGGAAAATCAAATCAGTGTCCCAACATGAACTCTCACTCAGTTTGAAGTAAGTAAAAGAAATCATGCAGTTAGAGAAAGCACAGCTCAGAGTGGCAAGGCTGTCATCTTCACAGTGGGCACGTGGGCCCTGGGCACTCTGCAACCACAACAGGAGGCACAGAGACCCTCTCTCTCCCCAAAAACAACCCCACCGTGCAACAATATACATAGGGAGCTATGTTTTGAGACATGGAGGAATATAAGTATGTTTACTACAAATCCTCATACATTTAGAAGGAAACACTAGAAGAATAAACCTAAAGCTAACATAAATGGTTACCAAGGAGAACAAATGAATGGGAGAATTGGAAGCAAGAATTCTCTATTATTTTTTTTTTTTGGAGACAGAGTCTTGCTCTGTTGCCCAGGCTGGAGTGCAGTGGCACAACCTTGGCTACCGCAACCCCTACCTCCTGGGTTCAAGCAGTTCTCGTACCTCAACCTCCCTAGTAGATGGGACTAGAGTTGAGTGCAACTACACCCAGCTAATTTTTGTATTTTTAGTAGAGATGGGGTTTCACCACGTTGGCCAGGCTGGTCTTGAACTCCTAGCTTCAAGTGATCTGCCCGCCTCAGCCTCCCAAAGTGCTGGGATTACAGGCGTGAGCCAGTGCGCCTGCCCCTATAACTTGAGATATATATATATATATATATATATATAGATATATATATATATATATATATATAGATATCTATAGATATCTATAGATATACACACACACACACACACACACACACGTGTATATATAAAAAACAAAATGGTACACCTGGCCTTATATATATACGTGTGTGTATATATATAAATATATAAGTGCACTTATATATATAAGGCCATATATACATATATATATATGCACCTGGCCTTTTAACTTGTTATATAAAACTTGTTATGTATAATTTTGTTACATACAACTTGTTATGTATGATTTTGTTACATACAACTTGTTATATATGATTTTGTTACATACAACTTGTTATATATGATTTTGTTACACATAACTTGTTATATATGATTTTGTTACATATAACTTGTTATATGATTTTGTTACACATAACTTGTTATATGTAATTTTGACTACGAAATCATGTTGTTTTCATATTCAAAAAATTATGTTAATAAAAAGTTCTTAAAAGTTTAAAACAACCCAAAACGAACAGCCCTAACTATGTATCAAACTGACATTTGAAACATAAAAAACAGGCTGGGCGCAGTGACTCACACCTGCTATCACAGCACTTTGGGAGGCCGAGGCAGGCGGATCACCTGAGCTCAGGAGTTCAAGACCAGCCTGGCCAACATGGAGAAACCCCGTCTCTACAAAAAATACAAAAATTAGCCAGGTGTGGTAGCGGGCACCTGTAATCCCAGCTACTCAGGAGGCTGAGGTAGGAGAATTGCTTGAACCCAGGAGGCAGAGGTTGCGGTTAGCTGAGATCGCCCCACTGCACTCCAGTCTGAATGACAGATCAAGACTCCTTCTCAAAAAAAATAAAATAAAATAAAGACAAAAAAAAAAAAAGAAACAATTATTTCAAGTAGCATTAGAACAAAGTATTTTGATTGCACATCCTTGGTGACACATGTTCTAAACACACAGAGAGATGCAAAGACATCTTTTTTTTAGAGTGGGGTGGTGCAATCATAGCTAACTGCAGCATTAACCTCCTGGGCTCAAGTAATCCTCCCACCTCAGCCTCCCAAGTAGCTGAGACTACAGGAGTGTGTCACCATGCCCAGCTTATTATTTTTTGTAAAAATGAGGTCTCACTATGTTGCCCAGACTGGTCTTGAATTCCTGGGCACAAATAATCCTCCCATATTGGCCTCCCAAAGTGCTAGGATTATAGGCATGAGCCACTGCACCCAGTGCAAAGAAATCTTAAACGTCTAAAATACCCATATTTTTTAGAGATGGTATAGAAGTAGGTAAAAAGACATGACTGCTGAGATTTGCTTTAAAATCCTCTAGCAAAAAGGCCAGGGACCATGGCTCATGCCTGTAATCCCAGCACTTTGGGAGACAAAGGCAGGAAGATCACCTGGGCCCAGGAGTTTGAGACTAGCCTGGGCAATAAAGCAAGATCCCGTCTCTACAACAAAAATAAAAAATTAACTGGGCATGGTGACGCACACCTGTCACTCCAGCTACATGGGAGGCTGAGCTGGGAGGATGGACTGAGCCCAGGAGTTTGAGGTTACAGTGAGCTATGATTATGCCACTGTACTCCAGGCTGGGCAACAGAGCAGGATCCTGTCTCTTAAAAAAAAAAATTTTTTTAAGTACTCCACCAAAGAAAAAAAGAGGTAGGTTAATTATGGTAACCTGATAACCGCTGAATCTAAGTGACGTGTGTGGGAGTTTATACTAGTCTTTGTACTTTGGCATGTTTGCGATTTGCCATAGTAACAAAATCTTTGTAAGCCTTAATTGCTCCCTCTCTCTTCAAGTTCCAACCAAGGCCCAACATTCAAGGAAGGCCCTCAACCACTCCAACAGCTTTGCTACCCCAGTATCTGCCCAGCCACACCATCTCAAAGCCTTTGTCCCTCTTACTGCCTCTGCGTGGAATGCCTTGCTTCCATCTCCAACACCCATTCCACCTCTCCAAATGCTACCCCTAGCCTCTACCTGTGATCCCCCAAGGAGAAACAAGACCCCCATGGAGTCATTTCACTGCAGGTTAAACACTTTTGGGATGACCTTAGAAATGACTGCAGATTTCATCCACCCCACACCACCCAAGCCTATCAACCAGTAGTCACTCTGCAAGACATTCTCTGAAGCAGACAGGGATGGGCTGGACTCCACCTGAGCTTACCTGACTATAGGCAGGCACATCTCTGAAAGGCCCATAATCCAGTAGGTCCTCAGAGCGCGTGGGGTTCCCCAGCTTGGTGTAGCTCTCCACATTTCGAGAGGCAAGCTTCACACGCATGGTTTGTGTCTTCGTTGGATAGGGAGAGTAGAAATAATGGTTCCCCTCAAACACCACAAACTGTTTCTCTGACTGGGTGATCTGGGTTGGATACGGATGAAGCACATGGGTGTAGACTGTTTCCACAATGACTGAAATCTTGGCCCCAGGATCAAGAGCAACTGGGAGCTTGACTGTGAAGAATCTCCCACTAAAGGAAGAACAAGGCAAGAGAAGTAAGAGAGACTGAGGATACTGAAAACAGTAGTAGCAGTTCAAAGTCACAACAAAATTTTGAACCAAAGACAAAAGCAATTATCTTTAAGAGATCACCTTTTCCTTTTTGAGATGGAGTCTCACTCTATCACTCAGGCTGGAGTGCAATGGTGCGATCTCGGCTCACCACAACCTCCACCTCTTGGGTTCAAGCGATTCTCCTGCCTCAACCTCCCGAATAGCTGGGATTACCTATTAGAATGTTTTTAACTTTTGTTCCATTGTTGAACATTTACACTGTTTTACACTCTTGCTATTTATAAACAGCCCTGAGAGAAACAGCTACATATCTGTCTTAGAAGACTTAAATTATTTTTTTCTTTTTTTGAGACAGAGTGTTGCTCTGTCGCCCAGGCTGGAGTGCAGTGGCATGATCTCAGCTCACTGCAACTTCCACCTCCCAGGTTCAAGAGATTCTATTGCCTCAGCCTCCCGAGTAGCTGGGACTACTGGCACCTGCCACCATGTCCTGTTAATAAAAGACTTAAATTACTATATTAAAGGTGATCTCTTGGCTGGGTGCAGTGGCTCATGCCTGTAATCCCAGCACTTTGGGAGGCCAAGTCAGGTGAATTTCCTGAGGTCAGGAGTTCCAGACCAGCCTGGCCAACATGGCAAAACCCTGTCTCTATTAAAAATACAAAAATTAGCTGGGCGTGGTGGTGCACACCTGTAGTCCCAGCTACTTGAGAGGTTGAAGTGGGAGGATCACTTGAACCCGGGAGGCGGAGGTTGCAGTGAGCCAAGATAGCGCCACTACACTCCAGCCTGGGTGACAGAGAGAGACTCCATCTCAAAAAAAAAAATTTTAATAGAACCACACAACAGAATACTGACAGTCGTTAGAAATATGGCTTCACACAATAGAATATTGGCAGTCATTAGAAATATGGCTAACCTACATATCTATATTAACATGGAAAGATGTCCATGTACAATGTAAATAACGAAAATCTGTTTACAAATGACAAAGAATAACTCCATTTAAAAACATACATAGACCCGGGGAGGGTGGCTTACGCCTGTAATCCCAGCACTTTGGGAGACCGAGATGGGTGGATCACGAGGTCAGGAGATCAAGACCAACCTGGCTAACACAGTGAAAGCCCATCTCTACTAAAAATACAAAAAAAAATAGCCGGGCGTTGTGGCGGGCACCTGTAGTCCCAGCTACTCAGGAGGCTGGGGCAGGAGAATGATGTGAACCCGGAAGGCGGAGCTTGCAGTGCGCCGAGATCGTGCCACTGCACTCCAGCCGGGCGACAGAGCGAGATACCGTCTCAAGAAAAAAAAAAAAAAAAAAATGAATGAATGTAAAGAATAGTATTTCAAGGAATGTTCAACAAAATGTTAATGGTAACTGTCTCAAGGTTGTAGAATAAGTTTAGTTTGTCTTTTCCAATTTCATTTTATTTTTTATTATTATTATTTTTTGAGACGGAGTCTTACTCTTGTAGCCCAGGCTGGAGTGAAATGGCACAATCTTGGCTCACCGCAACCTCCGCCTGCTGGGTTCAAGTGATTCTCCTACCTGAGCCTCCCCAGTAGCTGGGATTACAGGCGTCCGCCACCACGCCCAGCTAATTTTTGTGTTTTTAGTACAGAGGGGATTTCGCCACGTTGGCCAGGATGGTCTGAACTCCTGACCTCAGGTGATACACCCGCCTCGGGCTCCCAAAGTGCTGGGATTACAGGCATGAGCCACTGCGCCAGGCCCTAATTTGTCTTATAAGGAGCTTGTATCATCCTCATATCAAGAAAAAAATAAAGCTACTAATATTTTAAAGAAAAACAGATGGCTGACCAGCCTTACCAACAAGGTGAAACCCTGTCTCTACTAAAAGTACAAAAATTAGCCGGGCGTGGTGGCAGGCGCCTGTAGTCCCAGATACTCGGGAGGCTGAGACAGGAGAATTGCTTGAACCTGGGAGGCGGAGGTTGCAGTGAGCCGAGATTGTGCCACTGCACTCCAGCCTGGGTGACGGAGCGAGAATCCATCTCAAAAAAGGAAAAAAAAGAAAAACAGATGGCCTGGAAACTTAAAATTCACAGGGTACTAATTCTAAACTGAATCAGTTTTCCAAGCCAGGAGAACAATTTTTAGAAGACGTAGAAACCACTAGTGAAAAATTGAATTAATAAGCTTCAATGAGTTTGTCCTCAAAGGTGAGAACATGGATCACTCTTCCTGATATGACTTTATAGAACACAAAACTTGCATGTCTTTATCAGTCACACCATTATATTTCATATTACAACTGTGACGTTCACTACTCAAAATATAAGTAGCGGAATCTTCTCCTCAGGACAGTCTTAACCAATTCTTAGTTTCAAGTCCCAAATGTGCTTCTCATCCCACTCTCTGTCCTGAATTCTAAAATCAAATTTTCAAATGTTTACTAGACAGCTCCACTGACCACCCCACATGCAATTCAACAAAACCTTATCATTCATGATCCCAAGTCTTGATCTCTCTTAATACCACTGCCATCTGATCAACTCTAAGCTAGAAACCCAGGCATCTTCTGATGCCTCACTCTGCCCTGTCCCCAATACCTGGGCAATCCTGCCTCAGAAATTCCTCTCAGACCCATCCCTTCCTTTGCCTCCTCCTCCATTCAAACCAATACCATGTGCCTAGACTACTGCATCTCTTCCTATTAATCTCCTAATCTCCCTTCCCCCCAGCCCATCTACACAATCTCAAATCAACATTCCCACATTCATTTTACAAGTTGTTAAATGCTGCCACATAATTTAATTTTGCTTTGATAATTCAGAAGACAAATCAGAACCTTTCAGCACTCCAAGATCATTAGGAACATCAAGTCTTACCAAAATGTGGAAGCACCAGCTAATGAAGGTTTTTCAATCAATAAAAGGCTAGACAACACAGAACTGTCTAAACTGATGTACATGGAGCAGGTCTTTTTTTTTTTTCCTAAAGCTCTTCTCTAGCTGGATCTAATGGGAGAACATTGTGTGAATGACTTGGTTTTTTACTCATGTACTCAAACTGATTTACTGAGAACCCCATATAGGTCAGTTTCTGTGGCAGGAAGAGGTGATAAAGACAAATTCATATAATGTATGCACATATAACTAGAAATGAATAAAATGGTAAGCTATGAAAAAAAATTTTTTAATGTTCCCAACTGTGGGCTTTAAGGATAAAGCCCACGCCTTTAATAATGGTTCAGAGCAGTCCTTAAACTGAACTCAACCCACCCTACACAGCTTCACCTTCCTCTGAGCAAGAGCCACTCTGAAAGCCCAGTTAACTAAACACACCATGAAATGTCAACCCTCCGTATCTTTACAGATATCTCTGCCTGAAATGTTCCTTCCATTCCATTAGCCTTCTTTGTGATTAATTCAAAATTTATTAAGTGCTTACTAAGGCTCCAAGTACATTATATATATATTGATTTAGTGAATCTTTTTTTTTTTTTTTTTTTTTGACACGGAGTTTTGCTTTTGTTGCCCAGGCTGGCAATGGCATAATCTCGGCTCACCGGAACCTCTGCCTCCCGGTTCAAGTGGTTCTCCTGCCTCAGCCTCCCGAGTAGCTGGGGTTACAGGCATGCACCACCACTCCTGGCTAACTTTTTTGCATTTTTAGTAGAGATGGGGTTTCTCCATGTTGGTCAGGCTGGTCTCGAACTCCCAACCTCAGGTGATCTGCCTGCCTCGGCCTCCCAAAGTGCTGGGATTACAGGCGTGAGCCACCACGCCTGGCCAATTTAGTGACTCTTAGCCATGATCATATCAGGTAAACACTATTATTTTACTGATGAGGAAACTGAGGAAAATGCTAGTAAACATAACAGAGCTAGGATTTGATCCCAGGCAGTAAAGATGCAAAAAGCACAGTCCTAATAACTAAGTTACCTTGCCTATCCAAGACGCTACAAGCCAGCAGCTAGAGCCAATAAACACAGACAGGGTACTCAGACAGCCTCAGAGAGGGAGAGGAGTCTCTTAAAGCAAGAGAAAGCAATTTTAATAGCGACTTATTTAAAGCTAACTCTCAGATCTTACAGCCTCGGGGCTGGTGAGATGCCTACTTCATACACTCAGTGGAAAATCAAGATAATCACCAAGAAAAATTGAGATAATCACCACGCATTAAAATGTGGCTCCTGAGAGGATGTTGCTGTACATGAACTCAAAGTAATTCAAGGATTAAACTTAACAACCAAAGAAAGACAACTATGAAGATAACACAGAAAACAAAAAAGGTGGCCAGGTAGTGGCTGATACCTGTAATCCTAGCACTCTGGGAGGCCAAGGCAGGTGGATCACCTGAGGTCAGGAATTCAAAACCAGCCTGGCCAACATAGTGAAACCCTCTCTCTACTAAAAATACAAAAAAATTAGCTGGGCGTGGTGGTGAACACCTGTAATCCCAGCTACTCGGGAGGCTGAGACAGTAGAATCACTTGAGCCTGGGAGGCAGAGGTTGCAGTGAGCCAAGATCGCACCACTGCATTCCAGCCTGGGTGACAGACCGAGACTCCAACTCACAAAAAAGAAAAGAATAGATATACTCACATACAAGAAAAAAAGGGGTCAGGCGCAGTGGCTCACAACTGTAACCCAACACTTTGGGAGGCCGAGGCGGGTGCATCACCTGAGGAGTTCGAGACCAGCCTGGCTAACATGGTGAAACCCCATTTCTACTAAAATTACAAAAAATTAACTGGGCGTGGTAGCACGCGCCTTAATCCCAACTACTTGGGAGGCTGAGGCAGGAGAATCGCTTGAACCCCAGAGGCGGAGGTTGCAGTGAGCCGAGATCACGTGCCATTGCACTTCAGCTTGGGCAACAAGAGGGAAATTCCGTCTCAAAAAAAAAAGAAAAAAGAAAAAAGGGCCAAGAGCAGTGGCTCACACCTGTAATCCCAGCACTTTGGGAGGCCAAGACGGGCAGATCACCTGAGGTCAGGAGTTGGAGAACAGTCTGGCCAATATGGAGAAATCCCATCTCTACTAAAAATACAAAAAGTAGCCAGGTGTGGTAGCGGACGCCTATAATCCCAGTTACTCAGGAGCCTGAGGCAGGAGAATCGCTTGAACCTAGGAGGCTGAGGTTGCAGTGAGCCGAGATCACGCCACTGCACTCCAGTCTGGGCAACAAGACCAAGACTCCATCTCCAAAAAAAAAAAAAAACAAAGATAGGTAGGATCACACAGTAATTGAAACTATGGGGCCAGGAGTGGTGGCTCACACCTGTAATCCCCGCACTTTGGAAGGCTGAGGCAGGCAGATCACCTGAAGTCAGAAGTTCGAGACCAGCCTGGCCAACATGGGGAAACCCGTCTCTACTAAAAACACAAAACTTGTGGGGCACGGTGGCTCACATTTGTAATCCCAGCATTTTGGGAGGCCGAGGCGGCAGATCACCTGAGGTCAGGAGTTCAAGACCAGCCTGACCAATATGGTGAAACCCCATCTCTATTAAAAATACAAAAATTAGCCAGGTGTGCTGGTGCATGCCTGTAATCACAGCTACTCGGGAGGCTGCACAGGACAATCACTTGAACCCGGGAGGAGGAGGTTGCAGTGAGCCAAGATTGCGCCATTGCACTCCAGCCCAGGCAAAGAGAGCGAAACTCTCTCAAAAAAAAAAAATACAAAAATTAGCCGGGCATGGTGGCACACGCCTGTAATCCCAGATACTCGGGAGCCTGAGGCAAGAGAATCACTTGAACCATCGCACCACTGCACTCCAGCCTGGGCAACAGACACTGTCTCCAAAAAATAATAATAATAATAACTAATAAGTTCCAGGCTCCACGCTAGGTGCTGAGGTCTGAGCAAACAACTATGCAAGTTTAACCCCACCCAGCCTTCACAGTAGGCCTTCAAAGAAGTTACCACTTTGAATGCCCTGAAGGCTTAGGGGTGAGATATCCAGGGGGAAGGTTGTCTGCCCCATGGAAGCAGAATGGTAGCCAATCATAGATAGGAGAATACTTGCTGAGGCAAACAGCTTGGAGTTCTCACATAAAGCTCTGTGGAACCAGGAGGGAGAACTGATCTGATATAGAAAGTAACTACTTTCTTCCTATAAAACAAACTGCCACTGCTTAGGGGAATCCAATTTCAGCATTAGTAATGAGAAGTCATAAATGAGTCCAGAATATATTACAGCATGTTGCTTATTATCACATACATTAATTAAAACATCCTCGGTGGGGCGTAATGGACTCACGCCTATAATCCTAGGACTCTGGGAGGCAAAGAACTGCTTGAGGACAGGAGTTCAAGACCAGCCTGGGTGACATGGCAAAACCCGGTGTCTACTAAAAATACATACATATACACACACACATATTAGCCAAGTGTGGTGGTACATACCTCTAGTCCCACCTATTTGGGAGGCTGAGGGAGAAGGACGGTTTGAGCCCTGGAGGTGGAGGTTGCAGTGAGTCAACATGGCACCACAGTAATGGAGCCTGGGCAACAGACCCTGTCTCAAGAAAAAAAAAAAAATCCTCTAGGACAGATGCAGTGGTTCACACCTGTAATCCCAGCACTTTGAGAGGCCAAGGTAGAAGGATGGCTTGAGCTCAGGAGTTCAAGACCAGCCTGGGCAACATAGCTAGACCTCCTCTCTACAAAAAAAAAACCCTGTAATAAAGCAGGCACTTCCTAAGCAACTCTCCTAGTTTATGATCCCATATGATCCCAACCCTGACATAACCTTTAACAAGAGACAAGGTATATTGTTTGTCAGCTTACCTTTTACCCTTAATTTTGGTTTCACGTACTTCCAAATTGTTCTCTTCCTCATCTTCTCCCTTTACCTACAACAGAAAAAGATAGTTTATTATTCATGTCTTTTGGCTTCTAAATTTTGAGTCAATAATTAACCAAGTGCTTTAGAACATCCCCATTAAAGCAGTCAAACTATCAGAACTTTTTAGAGATTGAATTTTCTTTTCAGTAACAATTTTTTTTTCTCTGAAACACAAGAATATTGTCAAAGACTTACTTTTACAAAGTGGCATATGGCCAGGCGCAGGGGCTCACACCCGTAATCCCAGCACTTTGGGAGGCCAAAGTGGGCGGATCACCTGAGGTCAGGAGTTCGAGACCAGCCTGACCAACATGGAGAAACCCCATCTCTACTAAAAATACAAATTAGCTAGGCATGGTGGCACATGCCTGTAATCCCAGCTACTCGGGAGGCTGAGGCAGGAGAATTGCTTGAACCCGGGAGGCAGAGGTTGCAGCCGGCTGAGATGGCGCCATCACACTCCAGCCTGCATAACAAGAGCAAAATTCCATCTAAAAAAAAAAAAGTGGCATAAAACCGCTATAAATGCGTAACATTTTCCTGAATGATGAAATACACACAGCTGGGTGTGGTAGCTCACACCTGTAATCCCAACACTTTGGGAGGCTGAGGCGGGAGGATCACCAGGTCAGGAGTTTGAGACCAGCCTGGCCAGTATGGTGAAACCCCGTCTCTACGAAAAATACAAAAATTAACCAGGCGTGGTGGCGCTCGCCTGTTGTCCCAGCTACTAGGGAGGCTGAGGCAGAACAATCACTTGAACCTGGGAGGCAGAGGTTGCAGTGAGCCGAGATTGCACCACCACTGCACTCTAGCCTGGGTGACAGAGCGAGACTCTGTCTCAAAAAAAGAAATACACACATACACAAAAAGATTACACTTCCAAATATACTTCCCAAAGGCCTCTTTCTTGATGCTTTTCTCATTTACATTCAAATAAGCATACTCAAAGAAATGTATTTAGTGATGTAATAGAAAAGTCTCAGGGCTGGGCGCAGTGGCTCACACCTGTAATCCCAGCACTTTGGGAGGCCAAGGTGGGCGGATCACGAGGTCAGGAGTTCAAGACCAGTCTGGCCAATATAGTGAAACCCCATCTCTACTAAAAAAACAAAAAATTAGCCGGGTGTGGTGGCGTGTGGAGGCTGAGGCAGGAGAATTTCGTGAATCTGGGAGACGGAGGTTGCAGTGAGCTGAGATCGTGCCATTGCACTCCAGCCTGGTCGACAGAGTGAGACTCCGTCTCAAAAAAAAAAAAAAAAAAAAAAGTCTCATGGGTTTTTATTTTTGTAGAGACAAGATCTCCCTATGTTGCCCAGACTGGTTTCGAACTCTTGGGCTCAAGCGATCCTCCCACAGATTACAGGCACGAGATACCACGCCCAGCCTAAAACT
The DNA here is from genome assembly GCF_000001405.40 of Homo sapiens. Classification (NCBI taxonomy): domain Eukaryota; kingdom Metazoa; phylum Chordata; class Mammalia; order Primates; family Hominidae; genus Homo; species Homo sapiens. Next base: position 128,646,372 of record NC_000003.12, read on the forward strand.
GTTTCTTCACTAATATAAAAGTTAAAACTGGGCAGGCATGGTGGCTCACGCCTGTAATCCCAGCACTCTGACAGGCAGAGGAGGGGTGCGGATCACCTGAGGTCAGGAGTTCGAGACCAGCCTGGCCAATATAGTGAAACTTCATCTCTACTAAAAAATACAACAATTAGCTGGGCGTGGTGGCAGGTGCCTGTAATCCAGCTACTTGGGAGGCTGAGGCAGGAGAATTGCTTGAACCCAGGAGGTGGAGGCTGCAGTGAGCCATGACCATGCCACTGCACTCCAGCCTGGGCGACAAGAGTGAAACTCCATCTCATAAAAAAAAAAGTTGGCCGGGTGCGGTGGCTCACACCTGTAATCCCAGCATTTTGAGAGGCCAATCACCTGAGGTCAGGAGTTTGAGAGCAGCTGGCCAACATGGTGAAACCCCATCTCTACTAAAAATAAAAAAATTAGCTGGGTGTGGTGGCAGGCACCTTTAAGGCCAGCTACTTGGGAGGCTGAGGCAGGAGAATCACTTGAACCTGGGAGGCAGAGGTTGCAGTGAGCTGAGATCGTGCCACTGCACTCCAGCCTGGGCAACAGAGTGGGACTTCCTCTCAAAAAAAAAAAAAAATGGTTAACAGTGGCAAAATACCCTTGGGGAGGAGCCAATGACCACTGTTTGGGGTACCCTCACAGCAACAAGATACATAACCAGGAAAAGGATGTTCACTCCAGCAGGCTGCAGGGGTTTTCTGAGAAAGAGTAGTTATCTCCAATCATAAGACTGTGGAGCAGACTGCAAGGGAGAAGGGTATACATATCCCACTGATCTCTCTGCCAACCCACCCTCAACTGAAAAAAACAAAAATTAGACTATCTTTTAGGACTGAAGTAGTGATTCCCAGTAAGATACAAAAAGCTGTATTGGAGAACTTTTAAAATATATCAAAAAGCCTAAAAACAATCATACAATCATCCTCAATAAAGCTGTACAGTCTAATACAAACAAGTTTCATTACTTTGACTAGAATCTTATCACAGTGGGAATATTCCAGCCAGGCCAAGTGCAGTGGCTCACACCTGTAATCCCAACACTTTGGGAGGACTGCTTGAGGCTAGGTGTTGAAGACCAGCCTGGGCAACACAGCAAGACCCCATCTCTGAAAAAACAAAAAATTGCTCTTAATTAGCCAGGCGTAGTGGTGCGCACATGTAGTCCTAGCTACTCAGGGGGCTAGGTGGGAGGATAGCTTGAGCCCAGAAATTCGAGGCTGCAGTGAGCTCTGACTGGGCCACTGTGCTCTACCCTGGGGAACAGATTGAGAACTTGCCTCAAGAAAAAAAAAAAAAAAAGGAACATTCTAGTATATGTGTGTGTATCAGGAACTCTCATTGTGTTCAGTTATACAGACTTATTTGTTTTATTGAAAAATATTGTTACTTAATAAAATATTAGCATGCCAAAATATTTCAGATACAGGATCCAAAAGAGAGGAAAAATCATTAGATGGGTCCTTGGTGGTAAAAAGAGAAGCAACCACTGGCTCCTAGTCAGTAACCACCATGGTCCCTTCTGCTAGCTCCTAAAATTCTACAAGGGTTTGAAAATAACCCACTGAAGGCCAGGAATGGTGGCTCACGCCTGCAATCCCAGCACTTTGGGAGGCCGAGGCAGGTAGATCACCTGAGGTCAGGAGTTCGAGAGCAGCCTGACCAATATGATGAAACCCTGTCTCTACTAAAAATACAAAAATTGGCCGGGCGCAGTGGCTCACACCTGTAATCTCAGCACTTTGGGAGGCCGAGGTGGGCGGATCATGAGGTCAAGAGATCAAGACCATCCTGGCCAACATGCGTGAAACCCTGTCTCTACAAAAAAAATACAACAATTAGCTGGGCGTGGCAGCACGCGCCTGTAGTCCCAGCTACTCCGGAGGCTGAGGCAGGAGAATCACTTGAACCTGGGAGGCAGAGGTTGCAGTGAGCCGAGATTGCACCACCGCACTCCAGCCTGGCGACAGAGCAAGACTCTGCATCAAAAAAAAAATACAAAAATTAGCCAGGCGTGGTGGCATGCACCTGTAATCCCAGTTACTCCAGAGGAGAGACAGGAGAATTGCTTGAACCCAGGAGGCAGAGGTTGCAGTGAGCCAAGATAGCGCCATTGCACTCCAGCATGGGCAACGAGAGTGAAACTCCGTCTCAAAAAAAAAAAGAAAAAGAAAAGAACCCACTGAAAAACATTTCAGCAACCTCATCAGTTTCCAACACAACTGTTGGAAAATATACATCTCCTTGTTAAGTTTATCATCCAGTTGTTTCCCACTGGGATAGGAGTACAAAATAGCACATATATCCATTTAACTGGTGTCTTGGACTACAAAATTGAAAATGATTTTAAATAAATCTGTTAATGTGACTGCAAGTCTTATACCCAATACAATCCTATCTCACAGCCATAAAAGCCAGAAGAGGCAACATTATACAGTGTGAGAACACACAACTTACGGAATAAGCTGGAGCCCTGACTTACTCTGCACTGTAAGACCGCATGTAAGGGGCTAAATAACTTAACCTGACAGACTACAGCCTCCTTGCCTGCTATATGAGGATTTATACCTTAAATGGTTGCTATGAGGGCTAAATGAGAATATATTTAAAATACCCACCATAATATCTGACACACAGTAGAGTCCCAGTAAGAAAGTATCTTACCACAGAAACAAACAAACTAAAGGACAAAAGGAAACTTCTGGAGGTGACAGATATGTTTATTACCCGGATTGTGGTAATGGTTACACCAGTGTATACGTATTTTGAATATACTAATAATAGGCAGTTTTTTGTATACCAATTATACCTCAATAAAGTTGGGAGAAAAAATAAAAACAAGATAAAATAAGTACATTAACCTAGCTCGCAGGCATGATGGCAGGATAGCCGAGCTCCTGCTGTGGTCCACTTATACTGTAACAAGCTCATTAAATCACAACTGGCTTCTATAAAGAACGGGATTTAACATTCAAGACATTCAAAGATGGCAAGGCAAATTTACATGAAGTTTTGATCTATCTTTCCACAAGCCTTTGAGTAAAACTTTATTTCATCATGGACAACGCATGAAAGAAAATAGGAGTCATTTCAGAAACGTAATCTCTATAAACCCATCTTTATAGCTCCATATTCAGTCAGAGAACGAAGTGTGCTTAGAAGAAATGTGACACTATAATGACTATTCTCTCAACAAATAATTAGGTAATCATTTAATGAAATTGTTTAACAACAATAGTAATAAAAACCAAACCTCTGTGTATGTACATTCCCTTTACTCCCAAACCCAACATTTTCTTTGGTGATCACTGAAATACCTGGAAACATTTAAGCCAAACACAGCCATTTATTGCCGAGGTGTAAGAATGAGAAGCAGCAGGGGGAAGGGAGAAAATTGGACTTTCCTTTTCTGTACAGCATAAGAGAACTTATATTACGTGCAGGAGTTTTAAAACTAACTTTAAAAAGAGTTTTAACATTTAGAAAGCGTTCACTAGGAACCTTAAAATGCATCACATTCATAGGGATTTCAAGTGATTACCAACTTAAAAATGCGAAACCTGTTACATTTCTGATGGTTCTCTATGTCTAGAAAGAAGCACCTACAACGGACCAGATACTGAATTAAGAGAATGAAATTCACTTTAATTCATTTATTTGTCCTCTACTTGAGCCACCTCGTCGGGCCGTGAGAAATGAAGTCTGGCGCCCGCTGGCACCGGGCCGAGGGGCTGCCGCGCTCGCCTTACGGAAGGGAGGTGCGTTCTACCGGCCCGAGGTCTCCCGAGCGGTGCCGAGAACGGCCCAAACAGGGGCAAGCTCCGAGGCTGGTCGGCCGCGGATCCCAGCAGCTGCCCACGTGAGCAGCGACCCGCGCGGGGGCAGGCCGGTGCTGACGTGGCCCAGGCAGGAGGGCGGGCGCGCACCGGGGGCAGCGGAGGCGCCGGGGCCCCTGGCCACCCAGGACTCCTCGCGGGCCCCGAGGCAATCCCACGGACCCCCTGTGCCCCGCCCGCCGCCCGGGTCTCCGCATTTCCTGAGGCCTAGAGGGGCGCGGGCGGAGTCGGGGGACCGCCAGGAAGGGAGGCGGGAAGGGTCCCGGGAGCGGCGGCGAGGGGTCGCCCACACTCACCTGCACGCCCAGGTGCGCCAGCCGGGCCTCGAGCTCAGGCTCCAAAGCCAGCAGGAAAGAGGTAGCTCGGGACGTGGAGCCGCCGCCCAGGTGCGCCAGGACCACCTCGGCCGTCACCTTAGCCAGGTGGCTGCTTAGGTCCACTGTGCGCTTCACGTCCTCATTGATCAGCGGCGGTGCCTCGGAGGAGGCGCTGCCCGGCGCCGGGGCCCAAGTCCCAAGCAACAGGAGCAGAAACAAGCCGGCGGCTGGCGCCTCCATGACCGGGAAGAGCAGTGCGCCAGGGCGGGTAGGGCCCGGGCGCGGTAGCCCGCCCTCCCGCCACTGAGCAGCCGTTCATTGGGCAAGGGCTGGTGACACAAGATGGCGGCGCCGAACAAGGAAGGACCCTGTCTCCGGGGCAACCGGGAAGCCGACCCGGCGCCTGATTGCTAAAGCCCTCTCAGAGCTGCTCGGGATATCCTTCTGTTCGTAGTGCGAGTGTACTTACTTTTTTTTTTTTTTTTTTTTTTTTTTTTTTTTTTTTTTGAGACGGAGTCTCGCTCTGTCGCCCAGGCTGGAGTGCAGTGGCACGATCTCAGCTCACTGCAAGCTCCGCCTCCCGGGTTCACACCATTCTCCTGCCTCAGCCTCCCGGGTGGCTGGGACTACAGGCGCCCGCCACCACGCCCGGCTAATTTTTTTTTATATTTTTAGTAGAGATGGGGTTTCACTGTGGCCTCCATCTCCTGACCTCGTGATCCGCCCACCTCGGCCTCCCGAAGTGCTGGATTACAAGCGTGAGCCACTGCGCCCAGCCGCGAGTGTACTTATTATTACTAGTTTTCACTTACCTAATTTTTACAGGAGCGGCCCTTGCCTAGGTCTCTACTCTCTCCTACCATTCTTCCTGTCCAATAATTCTGCTCGTTTTGCTCCTTAAAACAGTGAAATTTTGCTCAGATTGAGAAAGTAAAAGTTGGCCTTCCCCAACATCCACGGATGAATGCTAAAATTAGTAGGCAGAACTTGAAGCCGAAACAGGATATATGCAAAGTTTCAAAACATCTCTACTAAAATGTTTAGTAATTAGGCCGGGCACGGTGACTCACGCCTGTAATTCCAGCGCTTTAGGAGGCCGAGGCGGGTGGATCACCTGAGGTCAGGAGTTCGAGACCAGCCTGGCCAACATGGTGAAACCCCGTCTATACTAAAGATACAAAAAATTAGCCGGGCGTGGTGGCAGGCGCCTGTAATTCCAGCTACTTGGGGTGGCTGAGGCAGGAGAATCGCTTGAACCTGGGAGGCGGAGGTTGCAGTGAGCTAAGATCGCGCCATTGCACTCCAGCCTAGGCGACAGGGTGAGACTCCTTCTCAAAATAAATAAATAAATAAATAAAATAAAATTAGCCGGGTGTGGTGGTGCGTGCCTGTAATCCCAGCTACTCCAGAGGCTGAGGTACCAGAATCATTTGAACCCGGGAGGCAGGAGATGCAGTGAGCCAAGATCGTGCCACTGCACTCCAGCCTGGGCGACTGGGCGAGACTCCCTCTCAAAAGGAAATTAAAAAATAAAAATAAAATGTTTAGTAATTACAAAGGAAAAAATAGTTTACAGTGGAGAATCCTGGCAGGCACCACTTTAAACAAGTGATCAAAGTTAACATCACCACATATAAAATATAGTAACATTAGGTATCTACTAATAGGATCCATTGAGAAAGGCACATCACTTCTGTGGTATTGCCACAAAATTATTGAAAATCCATTACCTCAATCTAGTCATAAATATCAGACAAGGCCAGGCACAGTGGCTCATGCCACCAATCCCAGCACTTTGGGAGGCCAAGTAGGGAGGATCCCTTGAGCCAAGGAGTTCAAAACTAGACCGGGCAACAGGGTAAAACCCCATCTCTACAAAAAATCAAAAATCAGCCGGGCCTGGTGACAAGTGCCTGTGTTACAGGAAAGGGGTCTGGATCCTGACCCCAAGAGAGGGTTCCTGGATCTCACGCAAGAAAGAATTCAGGATGAGTCCGCAGTGCAAAGTGAAAGCAAGTTTATTATTTTTTATTTTATTTATTTATTTATTTGAGATGGAGTCTCGCTCTGTTGCCCAGGCTGGATTGCAGTGGCGCAGTCTTGGCTCACAGCAACCTGTGCCTCCCGGGTTCAAGCAATTCTCTGCCTTAGCCTCCCAAGTAGCTGCGATTACAGGCGCCCGCCACCACGCCCGGCTAATTTTTGTATTTTTAGTAGAGACGGGGTTTCAACATCTTGGCCAGGCTGGTCTTGCACTCCTGACCTCGTGACCCACCTGCCTCAGCCTCCCAAAGTGCTGGGATTACAGGCATGAGCCACCGCCCCCAGCCAGCAAGTTTATTAAGAAAGTAAAAGAATAAAAGAATGGCTACTCCATTGACAGAGCAGCCCGAGGACTGCTGGTTGCCCATCTTTATGGTTATTTCTTGATGATATGCTATACAAGGGGTGGATTATTCATGCCTCCCCTTTTTAGACCATATAGGATAACTTCCTGATGTTGCCATGGCATTTGCAAACTGTCATGGCGCTGGTGGGAGTGTAGTAGTGAGGACTCATTGCCATTTTGGTTTTGGTGGGTTTTGGCCGGCTCCTTTACCGCAACCTGTTTTATCAGTAAGGTCTTTATGACCAGTATTTTGTGCCGACCTTCTATCTCATCCTGTTGAGAGGTGACAGCGTGCGCCCTCCCTCGCTCTCGGCGCCTCCTCGGCCTTGGCGCCCACTCTGGCCGCGCTTGAGGAGCCCTTCAGCCCACCGCTGCACTGTGGGAGCCCCCTTCTGGGCTGGCCAAGGCCGGAGCCGGCTCCTTCAGCTTGCAGGGAGGTGTGGAGGGAGAGGCGCGAGCGGGAACCGAGGCTGCGCACGGCGCTTGCGGGCCAGCTGGAGTTCTGGGTGGGCCTGGGCTTGGCGGGCCCCGCACTCGGAGCGGCCGGCCGGCCGGCCCTGCCAGCCCTGGGCAATGAGGGGCTTAGCACCCCGGCCAGCGGCTGCGGAGGGTGTGCTGGGTCCCCCAGCAGTGCCGGCCCACGGGCGCTGCACTCGATTTCTCGCCGGGCCTTAGCTGCCTCCCCGCAGGGCAGGGCTCGGGACCTGCAGCCCGCCATGCCTGAGCCTCCCCCTCCTCCGTGGGCTGCTGTGCGGCCCCAGCCTCCCCGACGAGCGCCGCCCCCTGCTCCAAGGCGCCCAGTCCCATCGACCACGCAAGGGCTGAGGAGTGCGGGCGCACGGCCGGGGACTGGCAGGCAGCTCCCCCTGCCGCCCGGGTGCAGGATTCACTGGGTGAAGCCAGCTGGGCTCCTGAGACTGTTGGGGACTTGGAGAATCTTTATGTCTAGCTAAGGGATTGTAAATACACCAATCGGCAGTCTGTATCTAGCTCAAGGTTTGTAAACACACCAATCAGCACCCTGTGTCTAGCTCAGGGTTTGTGAATGCACCAGTTGACACTCTGTATCTAACTACTCTGGTGGGGACTTGGAGAACCTTTGTGTGGACACTCTGTATCTAGCTAATCTAGTGGGGACGTGGAGAACCTTTGTGTCTAGCTCAGGGATTATAAAGACACCAATCAGCACACTGTCAAAACAGACCTCTCCCCTCTCTGTAAAATGAACCAATCAGCAGGATGTGGGTAGGGCCAGATAAGAAAATAAAGGCAGGCTGCCAGAGCCAGCAGTGGCAACCCGCTGGGGTCTCCTTCCACACTGGAGAGTTTGTTCTTTCGCTCTTGGCAATAAATCTTGCTGCTGTTCACTCTTTGGGTCCACGCTGCCTTTATGAGCTGTAACACACACCACGAAGGTCTGCAGCTTCACTCCTGAAGCCAGCGAGACCACAAACCTACCGGGAGGAACGAACAACTCCAGACGCGCCTCCTTAAGAGCTGTTAACACTCACCGCGAAGGTCCTCCGCTTCACTCCCGAGCCAGCGAGACCACGAACCCCACCAGAAGGAAGAAACTCCGAACACATCCAAACATCAGAAGGAGCAAACTCCAGACACGCCACCTTTAAGAACTGTAACACTCACCGCAAGGGTCTGCGGTTTCATTCTTGAAGTCAGTGAGACCAAGAACCCACCAATTCCCAACACGCTGTGACTTAAAATGCCTTAACTGTATGGGAATGCAGCTCACAGGTTTCAACCTCGTTTTACCCAGTTCCTATTCAGGATGGAGTTGTTGTCGTTCACATGCCTCTGACACCTGTAGTCTCCGCTACTTGAGAGGCTGAAGCAGGAGGATCACTGGAGCCCCGGAGATCAAGGCTTCAGTAAGCTATGTTCATGCCGCTTCAGCCTGGGTGACAGCAAGACCCTGTCTCAAAAAACAAAACAAGGCTGGGCATGGTGGCTCATGCTTGTAATCACAGCACTTTGGAAGGCCAAGGCAGGAGGATTGCTTGACCCCAAGGAGTTTGAGACCAGTCTGGACAACATAGCAACATTCTATCTTTACAAAAAATATTTTAAATTAGCCTAGTGTGGTGGCATGCCCCTGTAGTCCCAGCTACTCAAGAGGCTGAAGTGGGAGGATCACTTGGGCCTGGGAGGTTGTAGCTGCAGTGAGCTGTGATCATGACACTGCACTCCACCCTGGATGACAAAGTGAGACTTTGTCTCAAAAAAAAAAAAAAAAGAAAAAAGAAGGCCGGACGCCATGGCTCACGCCTGTAATCCCAAAACTTTGGGAGGCTGTGGCAGGCAGATCACCTGAGGTCAGGAGTTCAAGACCAGCCAGGCCAACATGGTGAAACCCCGTGTCTACTAAAAATACAAAAAATTAGCCAGGTATGGTGGCACACACCTGTAATTCCAGCTACCTGGGAGGTTGAGGCCGGAGAATCATTTGAACCCAGGAGACAGAAGTTGCAGTGAGCCAAGATCATGCCACTGCACTCCAGCCTGGGTGACAGAGCAAGACTCCATCTCAAAAAAATAGTAATAATAAAAAAAATAGATAAAATCAGACAAACCAAAATTGAAGAAAATTCTACAAAATAACCGACTCTTCAAATATTAATCCTTCTTACCTCCATGTCTCCTCATAGGTTGTATGTGCACCTGATTTTCCTTGTGGGAAAGGAGAACACCAAGGTTCCCTCCATTTCTTCCCCATTGATGACTTCCAGAGTGACTGGGGTGTTGCAAGTCTCAGTAAAAAGCTCTAGAAAAGTGTTTCCACATAGTCAAGTAAACGTGAGAAATACCACACTGCACATCAGCAGATTAGCGAAACCTCCTTATTCCCTAATTTTGGAAATATAGAACTAACCAGATATCACAGGAAACAAAAATACTGAGCCCACCAAATGCACATGGAAGAATGTTCAGAACAGTTCCTTCACACTCCAAATTTCTGTTATTATCTATATTAGTCAAAACTCAGCCAGGCACAGTGGTTCGCACCTGTAATCCCAGCACCTTGGGAGGCTGAGGCAAGCGGATCACGAGGTCAAGGGATCGAAACCAGGCTGGGCGCGGTGGCTCACGCCTGTAATCCCACACTTTGGGAGGCCTAGGCGGGCAGATCACAAGGTCAGGAGTTTGAGACCATCCTGGCTAACACGGTGAAACCCCGTCTCTACTAAAAATAGAAAAATTAGCAGGGCGTGATGGCGGTTGCCTGTAGTCCCAGCTACTCTGGAGGCTGAGGCAGGAGAATGGTGTGAACCCGGGAGGCGGAGCTTGCAGTGAGCCGAGATCATGCCACTGCACTATAGCCTGGGCGACAGAGCGAGACTCCGTCTCAAAAAAAAAAAAAAAAGACATCAGCAGGACTGGCTGTCTGGTGAGGGCTGCTCTCTGCTTTTAAGAGGGTGGCTTGATGCTGCATCTTCCAGGGAAAGGAATGCTGGGTGTTCATATGGAAGAAGGGCAAAAAAGCAGTGAACTCCCCCCCCATCAAGCCATTTTATAAGGGAACTTAATACAATTCACAAAGGCAAAGCCTTCATTACTCAATCATCTCCCAAAGGCCACTCCTTCCAATTCTGTGGCATTAGGGAATAAATTCCAATATGAATTTTTGGAGGGTACAAAAACATGTAAATCAGAGCACCAGCTAATGAGAAGTAGGAACCAGGAGGGCATGTTCCTTCCCTACAGAGCATGAGTCTGCAAATTACCACCTGCAGGCCAGCCACAAATTTCTGCAAATAACTTTTTTTGTGTGTTTTTTTGTTTTTTGTTTTTTTGAGATGGCATCTCACTCTGTTGCCCAGGCTGGAGTGCAGTGTCGCAATCTCGGCTCACTGCAACATCCACCTCCTGGGTTCAAGCCATTCTCCTGCCTCAGCCTCCTGAGTAGCTGGGATTATAGGCATGCGCCAACATGCCCAGCTAATTTTTGTATTTTTAGTAGAGACAGAGTTTCGCCATGTTGGCCAGGCTGGTCTCGAACTCCTGACCTCAGGTGATCCACCTGCATCGGCCTCCCAAAGTGCTGGGATTAAAGGTGTGAGCCACTCACCCAGCCTAAAGCCTTAATATTTTATTAGAACATATCTTAGCAGTGATAGTTCTGGGCATGCATTATGTTCTTTCAGCTTGTAGTTTCAAACCTTTTTGAAAGTCTTCTTTTTTGGGGATTCCTCTTATTTTACTGTTCGGTTTTACCCATCTTCAATATTTTGCACTTTGTCTTGAATCATTTTTTGTTTTTTTTTTCCTTTTTTTTTTTTTTTTTTGACACCGAGTCTCACTCTGTCGCCCAGGCTGGAGTGCAGTGGCACAATCTCGGCTCACTGCAACCTCCATCTTCCAGGTTCAAGCGATTCCTCTGCCTCAGCATCCTGAGTAACTGGGATTACAGGCGCACACCACCACACCCAGCCCAGAAAAGTTTTAAACGAAAAAACGAGCCGGGCGCCGTGGTTCACGCCAGTAATCCCAGCACTTTGGGAGGCCGAGGCAGGGGGATCATGAGGTCAGGAGATCGAGACCATCCTGGCTAACACGGTGAAACCCCATCTCTACTAAAAATACAAAAAAAATTTAGTAGAGACGGGGTTTCACCATGTTGGTGAGGCTGGTCTCGAACTCCTCACCTCAGGTGATCTGCCCACCTCTGCCTCCCAAAGTGCTGGGATTACAGGCATGAACCACTGTCTGTTGATCATTTTTAATGTGACCTTTCGGAAGGAGGGATGGTTTAGGATGGCCTTTGTACCTTCCCAGATCTCTGCTGTTTTCATGTAGTATACTGCAAAAACATGTGGCTTGCTTTCTGAGCTTTCCCCTGCTCGGTTTTTGAGCTCCCTTGTCCCTATCATGCTCAATTTTGATTCTGTTGAGTAGTTTCTCCTCATTGTAGGGCACTGTCACAGAAGGGGAGTTCTGCTCTCAGGGACTAGACTGCTGCAGACTCGTAGACCTTCTGCAGGCCCGTTTCACTCACCATTAGGCAGGGCACAACTGCTCCGAGTTTCAGCCACTCCTCACATTGGCCTGCTGTGCTCGCTAGGGAATCCCAGTTGTGTGTTTTGGGGTTCTGCTGTTCTCAAGCCCATCAGTTGCCCTATTGCTTCTCTCTGCTTTCTCCTTCACAGACACTGATAACATGAGGCATTGGTTGCAGTGAGCTGAGATCATGGCATCGTACTCCAGCCTGGGCGACAAGAGCAAGACTCCGTCTAAAAAAAAACAAAAAAAAAGACGGGGTGCCAGGCGCGGTCACTTATGCCTGTAATCCCAACATTTTCGGAGGCCCAAGGCGGGCGGATCACCTGAGGTCAGGAGTTGCAGACCAGCCTGACCAACATGGAGACCAACATGTCCCGGGCGTGGTGGCACATGCCTGTAATCCCAGCTACTGGGGAGGCTGAAGCAGGAGAATCGCTTGAACCCGGTAGGAGGAGGTGGCAACTCCGTCTCAAAAAAAAAAAAAAAAAAAAAAAAGGCCGGGCGCGGTGGCTCATGCCTGTAATCCCAGCACTTTGGGAGGCCGAGGCGGGCAGATCACGAGGTCAGGAGATCGAGACCATCCTGGCTAACACAGTGAAACCCCGTCTCTACTAAAAATACAAAAAATTAGCCGGGCATTGTGGGGGGCACCTGTAGTCCCAGGCTCTGGAGGCTGAGGCAGGAGAATGGCGTGAACCTGGCAGGCGGAGCTTTCAGTGAACCGAGATCGTGCCACTGCACTCCAGCCTGGGCGACAGAGCGAGACTCCGTCTCAAAAAAAAAAAAAAAGAAAAGAAAAAAGGATGCCCACCCAATTCTTTATTATTTTGTAAGATGTTCACATAAGGGAATGCTGGGTGAAAGATGCCAGATGCAAATTGGCAGCTGCGCAGACACTCCTAGATCAGGCAAGAATTCTCTCTATTATTTTTTCAATTCCTATATATCAGAAATTCAAAATTAGAGAAAAAGATACCATTAACGGAGTAGAAAGAAAGCTTCAGAGTGGGAGAAGATAATTGAAATACATCTAACAGGCAGAAAACTCATACCCAAAATATACACAAAAAGACAACTTACTAAGAAAAAGATAATAGAAAAATGAGCAGAAGAATTGACGCCGTACTTCTAAAAGAAGAATATACAGCAGGGCGCAGTGGCTCATGCCTGTAATCCCAGCACTTTGGGAGGCTGAGGCGGATGGATCATGAGGTCAGGAGTTCAAGATCAGCCTGGCCAAAATACAAAACAAATTAGCCGGGCGTAGTGGCAGGCACCTGTAATCCCAGCTACTTGGGAGGCCGAGGCAGAGAATTGCTTGAACCCACGTGGCCGACGTTGCAGTGAGCCGAGATTGCGTCACTGCACCCCAGGCTGGGTGACAGAGCGAGACTCTGTCTCAAAAAACAACAAAAAAAAAGAAGAGTATACAAATGGCCAGTGGGGTTATAGGACATATAATGTCATTAATAATTAGGGAAGTGCAGGCCAGGCACGATGGCTCACGTCTGTAATTCCAACACCTTGGGAGGCTGAGGCAGGTAGATCATCCGAGGTCAGGAGTTTGAGACCATGGTGAAACCCCATCTCTACTAAAAATACAAAAAATTAGCCGCGCGCGGTGGTGGGCACCTGTAGTCCCAGCTACTCGGGAGGCTGAGGCAGGAGAATGGCGTGAACCCGGGAGGTGGAGCTTGCAGTGAGCTGAGATCACGCTGCTGCACTCCAGCCTGGGCTACAGAGCGAGACTCTGTCTCAAAAAAAAAAAAAAAAAGATATGCAAACCCTGCGGCCTACCAATGTCATTCCTAAACATATACCCTAGAGAAATGTGAGCACATGTACCCCCAGCTACATAGACAAAAATATACGCAGAAGCATTGCCTGTAATACCAAAAAGCGAAAACATCCTAGATGAAAAGAAAGGTAAAGACTTCTGTGAGTATTATATGGGTAAGACAATATCAGTAGGAATGGGAAAGTCAGGACCTCTAAAAAATTCTGTCCTCCAAGTCAACAAAAAGTGTGAAACTTTGTAAAATATTTGAAATGTGAGTCAAATGTGATTGACCATGGCCTGTGACACAGCGAGAGGAGATCCTGTGCCAAGGTGGTAGGGTTACAGCTTGGTTTTACACATTTTAGACATCAGTCAATATATGTAAGATGTATATTGGTTCCACCATGCGTGGTGGCTTAAGCCTGTAATCCCAGCACTCTGGGAGGCTGCAGCGGGTGGATCACGAGGTCAGGAGTTCGAGACCGGCCTGGCCAACATGGTGAAACCCCGTCTCTACTAATAAAACAAAAATTAGATGAGCGTCGTGGTGGGCACTTGTAATCCCAGCTACTCGGGAGGCTGAGGCAGGAGAATCGTTTGAATCTGGGAGGCAGATGTTGCAGTGAGCGAAAATCGCTCCATTGCACTCCAGCCTGGGCAACAGGGTGAGACTCTGTCTCAAAAAAAAAAACAAAAGATGTACATTGGTTCCATCTGGAAAGGTGGGATGACTCAAAGCAGGAAGGGGGTGCATTCCAGGTTATCGGTGGACTCAAAGATTTTCTGATTGGTTATTGGTTGAGAGTTTATCTAAAGCCTTGGAATCAATAGAAGGGAGTGTCTGGGGTTAAAATAAGGGGTTCTTATTATGCAGATGAAATTCAGGTTCTATTATGCAGGCTTCAAAGAGAATAGATTGTAAATGTTTTTATCAGACTTAAAGAGACAGTTTTGCAGGCCCATTTCAAAATATGTCGAAGCAATATATTTTGGGATAAAATATTTTTATTTATTTATTTTTTTTTTTTTTGAGACAGAGTCTCACTCTGTTGCCCAGGCTGGAGTGCAGTGGCACAAGCTTGGCTCACTGCAACCTCCAACTCCTGGGTTCAAGCAATTCTCCTGTCTCAGCCTCCCAAGTAGCTGGGATTACAGACATGCACCACCACGCCTGGCTAATTTTTTGTATTTTTAGTAGAGATGGAGTTTCACCATGTTGGTCAAGCTGGTCTCGAACTCCTAACCTCAGGTGATCCACATGCCTCAGCCTCCCAAAGTGCTGGGATTACAGACATGAGCCACCACGCTCGGCCTTTTTATTTATTTTGTGACTGCAATCTGTCATGTTGGTATCTTATTGCTACAGAGTCTGCTCTCTCCGTCTCAAGGTCTCTGTTTTAATGTTAATGCTGGTCAGTTGTGCCTGAATTTCAACGAGAGGAAGGTATAATGTGGCCTGTCCCACCACCCATTCCCATGATGGTCTGAAATAATGTTTCAGGTTTATTTTGGAATGCCCTTGGCCAAGAGGAGGAATCCATTCAGGTGGTTGGGGGGCTTAGAATTTTATTTTTGGTTTACATCCATTAATGCCATAAGAATACTGGCAGAAATGGTAAAAATCAATGTTTTCAGAACTTTAACAAAAAGACTATAACACGCTAGGCATTGGCTCATGCCTGTAATCCCAGCACTTTGGGAGGCCAAGGCAGGTAGATCACCTGAGGTCAGGAATTGAAGACCAGACTGGGCAACATGGTAAAACCCCATTTCTACTACAAATACAAAAAATTAGCTGGGCATGGTGGCACATGCCTGTAATTCCAGCTACTCGGGAGACTGAGGCAGGAGAATCACTTGAACCTGGGAGGCAGAGATTGCAGTGAGCTGAGATTGTACCACTACACTCTAGCCTGGGCAACAGAGTGAGACTCCATCACAAAAAACAAAACAAAACAAAAAAAACAGACATAAGTAGAATACCAAATTCCAGCATGAAAGCATGAGGAGCTCCATGACCTATTCTCCAGTAAGACTTGTGAAAACTATAAAGACCCAACTACTTAAAACCTCTAGAAACGAGCTGGTCACAGTGGCTCATACCTATAATCCCACCACTTTGGAAGGCTCAGGTGGAAGAATTGCTTGAGCCGAGGAATTTGAGACCAGCCAGGACAATATGGGGAGACCCCGTCTCTACAGATAAATTAAAAAATAACTGGGCATGGTAGCATGCACCTATGGTCCCAGCTACTCAAGAGGCTGAGGCAGGAGGATTGCCTGAGCCTAGGAGGTCAAGGCTGCAGATCCTGTCTCAAAAACAAACAAACAAACAAACAAAAACTCTAGAAATTGTCATAAGGGCAACAGGAAAATGCAGAAACACTTATTCAATAAAATCTATGAATATTCTGTAGGAAAAGCAAGCATCTCAGGTATCTGAACCAAGACTGCCACCACTCTCCTCCCTATCAGATCAGCAAGGCAGAGAATCTGCTGCAGATTGCTGCTGCCAGACAGGGCTCCCTCTCCCTGCAGCTCTTAGTCAGAAGGCTTTATCTGGCCAGGTGCAGTGGCTCACACCTGTAATCCCAGCACTTTGGGAGGCCGAGGCGGGTGGATCATGAGGTCAAGAGTTTGAGACCAGCCTGGCCAATATGGTGTGCTGAGACCAGCTCGGTGGGGGAGACCCTAATCCAGCAGCGCTAGAGGAATTAAAGACACACACACAGAAATATAGAGGTGTGAAGTGGGAAATCAGGGGTCTCACAGCCTTCAGAGCTGAGAGGCCCGAACAGAGATTTACCCACGTATTTATTAACAGCAAGCCAGTCATTAGCATTGTTTCTATAGATATTAAATTAACTAAAAGTATCCCTTATGGAAAACAAAGAGATGGGCCGAATTAAAGGAATAGGTTGGGCTAGTTAACTGCAGCAGGAGCATGTCCTTAAGGCACAGATTGCTCATGCTATTGTTTGTGGTTTAGGAATGCCTTTAAGCGGTTTTCTGCCCTGGGCGGGCCAGGTGTTCCTTGCCCTCATTCCCGTAAACCCACAACCTTCCAGTGCAGGCGTTAGGGCCATTATGAACATGTCACAGTGCTGCAGAGATTTTGTTTATGGCCAGTTTTGGGGCCAGTTTATGGCCAGATTTTGGGGGGCTTGTTCCCAACAATGGTGAAACCCCGTCTCTACTAAAAATATGAAAATTAGCCGGGCCTGGTTGCGCACTCCTGTAGTCCCAGCTACCCAGGAGGCTGAGGCAGAAGAATAGCTTGAACCCGGGAGGCGGAGGGTGCAGTCAGATGAGATCCTGCCACTGCACTCCAGCCTGGGCGACAGAGTGAGACTCCGTCTCAAAATAAAAAATAAAAATAAAAAAGAAGGCTTTATCTTTGGGATGAGGAAAAGGTCAGCGTTTCTCATCCTGCCTCCAGCTACCTGTTGTTTAATCTAAGATAGTAGGCAAGTACAGCTGAGAGTAGCAGTTTCTCTTCCGCTATTCAGTCCCAACTTGCAGGACAAAGGTGCTACCTTAGGCATGGTGCACTGAGGAGACTGGAGCCCTGGTCACCCTCGTCCCAGTACTTTGCATTTCAAGAGAGGCCAGTGGAGAGGAATTTGGCTTCTCCCACACTTCCCCACCCACTGAGTGCTTAGGTCCTAGCGTCCAGGTGTCACTCAGCAAGAACTTGCCATTGTCTTTACCCTGTTCTCTGAGATTTTGCCAGGGGAGAGAAGCAGGCAGTAAAACAGGTAGCTTCTAATCTCCTCCCATTTGCAAGATCATGGGTGCTCTCAATGAAAAGCAATTAAACAATGAAGGTTAAAGTGAAAGGCAGAACTGGAGAACCGCTAGTTTATAAGAGGGAATGGTGAATAAGACAGGTGAGAAGAGGCCTCCTAGGATTAGGACAAATGCAAAACACTGAGATCAGAAACTATTCCTTCAAAGGAGCACATTTGATTGGATTACTTTGAAGAGCAATTTATGCCCTGCCCCCATCATTGTTGAAAACTCTTAAGCAATCAGCTGCTTAATTTAACTTAATTAAATTAAACTGCAGGGTGTTGTCAGGGAAAGACAGGACAACACCTCTATCAAGGCAACTGTCATCCCAAGACAGCTATGGATTTACCCATAGCTGTACCTCCTTAAGAAACAAGGAGGATTGGCCGAGCACGGTGGCTCACACCTGTAATCCCAGCACTTTGGGAGGCCAAGGTGTCACCTGAGGTCAGGAGTTCGAGACCAGCCTAGCCAACATGGCGTCTCTACCAAAAATACGAAAATTAGCTGGACATGGTGGCAGTCACCTGTAATTCCAGCTACTCAGGAGGCTGAGGCATGAGAATTGCTTGAACCCAGGAGAAAGAGATTGCAGTGAACCGAGATCACACCATTACACTACAGCCTGGGCGACAGAACAAAGACTCTGTCAAAAAAAAAAAAGAAAGAAAGAAAAAGAGAAAGAAGGAAAGAAAAAAGAAAGAAAGTGGTGGGGCACGGTGGTTCATGCCTGTAATCCCAGCACTTTGGGAGGCTGAGGTGGGAGGATCACCTGAGGTCGGGAGTTGGAGACCAGCCTGACCCATATGGAGAAACCCTATCTCTACTAAAAATACAAAATGAGCCAGGCTTGGTGGCACATGCCTATAATCCCAGCTACTTGGGAAGGCTGAGGAGGAAGAATCGCTTGAACCTGGGAGGTGGAGGTTGTGGGGAGCTGAGATCGCACCATTGCACTCCAGCCTGGGCAACTAGAGCAACACTCTGTCAAAAAAAGAAAGAAAATAAAGAAAAGGAAGAAAGAGGATTTACTCTGTGAGAGAAAAGACAGCCTTCACTAAAAGATTCCAGTAAGTCAGACCAGGTGCGGTGGCTCATGCCTGTAATCCCAGCACTTTGGGAGGCCAAGGCGGGCGGATCACGAGGTCAGGAGATGGATACCATCCTGGCTAACATGGTGAAATCCCATCTCTACTAAAAATACAAAAAAAATTAGCCAGGCGTGGTGGCGGGCGCCTGTAGTCCCAGCTACCTGGGAGGCTGAGGCAGGAGAATGGCGTGAACCCGGGAGCAGAGGTTGCAGTGAGCCGAGATCATGCCACTGCACTCCAGCCTGGGGGACAGAGTGAGACTCCGTCTCAAAAAAAAAAAAAAAAAAAAAAAAAAAATCCAGTAAGTCAGCTGGGCGCAGTGGCTCATGCCTGTGATCCCAGTACTTTGGGAGACCAAGGCGGGTGGATCACCTGAGGTCAGGAGTTCGAGACCAGCCTGGCCAACATGGTGAAACCCCGTCTCTACTAAAACTACAAAAATTAGCCAGATACAGTGGCAGGCACCTGTAATCCCAGCAACTTGGGAGTCTGAGGCAGGAGAAGGCAGGAGAAACCGGGAGATGGAGGTTGCAGTAAGCTAAGATCGTGCCACTGCACTCCAGCCTGGGGGACAGAGAGAGACTGTCTCAGAAAAAAAAAAAAAAATTCAGTAAGTCACTAAACAAATACAAAAGCAAATAATTAAACCCTAAAGGGGAGGAGGGTCAAGATCTAGAATCCCTACAGCATATTATCCAAAATGTCCCATTTCCAACAAAGTACAAGGTATACGAAGAAACAGAAATGTATTCATGATCCACCAGAAGAAAACAAAAAAGGAGGAAATTGCCTATGAATTTGGATTTATCAGAAAAAGACTACAAAACAGACATTATTAGCACGGTCATTGAAGGAAGCCAGAATATTTTTCCCCAAAACATAAAGGATGTTGAATTAAAGATAAGAAACATGTGGGGGAGCTCTCTGCCTTCCCTGTTTGCCTAGAGCAGGACAAAGAAAAAAGGTCTTTCTATCCTCCCCCTTCCTTTACCACTTAAAGACAGGATGTAAATTTTCCTTTATTATAAATTCTCCTTTACTTAGTGATAGTGTTGGAGGCGTTCGAACAAGAGTGACTCCGGTTTTTTGTTTGTTTGTTTTTGAGGCACACTTGTGCTCTTGTTGCCCAGGCTGGAGTGCAATGGCACAATCTCGGCTCACCACAGCCTCTGCCTCCTGGGTTAAAGCTATTCTCCTGCCTCAGCCTCCCTAGTAGCTGGGATTGCAGGCATGCACCGCCACACCCAGCTGATTTTTTATTTTTTGTAGAGGCGGGGTTTCTCCATGTTGGTCAGGCTGGTCTCAAACTCCCAACCTCAGGTGATCCGCCCACCTTGGCCTTGCAGAGTGCTGGGATTACAGGCCTGAGCCACCGCGCCCGGCCCAGAGTGACTCCATTTTTTTTTTTTTTTTTTTTTTTGAGACGGAGTCTCGCTCTGTTCTGGAGTGCAGTGGCGCGATCTCGGCTCATTGCAAGCTCCGCCTCCCGGGTTCACGCCGTTCTCCTGCCTCAGCCTCCCGAGTAGCTGGGACTACGGGCGCCCGGCACCACGCCCAGCTGATTTTTTGCATTTTTAGTAGAGACAGGGTTTCACCGTGTTAGCCAGGATGGAGTGACTCCATTTTGAGTGAGGGCTAGGAAAATGCGGCTGGAACTTGCTGGGCTGCATGCTCAGAAAATTAGGCATTACTAGCCCGGGCGGATCACAAGGTCAGGAGTTCGAGACCCAGCCTGGCCAACATGATGAAACCCCGTCTCCACTCAAATACAAAAATTAGCTGGGCGGGTGGTGGGTGCCTGTAATCCCAGCTACTCAAGAGACTGAGGCAGGAGAATTGCTTGAACCCAGAAGGCGGAGGTTGCAGTGAACTGAGATCGCGCCACTGCACTCCAGCCTGGGAGACAGAGCGATACTCCTTCTCAAAAAAAAAAAAAAAAAAAGGGGGGGGGCCAGGTGTGGTGGCTCGCGCCTGTAATCCCAGCACTTTGGGAGGCTGAGGCGGGCAGATCACAAGGTCAGGAGTTCGAGACCAGCCTGACCAACATGGTGAAACCCCATCTCTACTAAAAATACAAAAATTAGCCGGGTGTGGTGGTGTGCCCCTGTAATCCCAGTTACTCAGGAGGCTGAGGCAGGAGAATTGCTTGAACCAGGGAGGCAGAGGTTGCAGTGAGCCGTGATCACGCCATTGCACTCCAGACTGGGTGACAGAGCGAGATCCCATCTCAAAAAAAAAAAAAAAGTTTACTAAACAGACCCAGACTTGAGAGTATCCAGATATCCCAATATCTGGAGAACAAAGACATAGTTCCTAATTTTGCTTTAAAGCAAATCGATAATAGTATTGATTTTTGCAAAATATAGTAATTTAAAAAATTAATCCTTTATAACAAACCCTTGTAGCAGAGCACATCTCCCCACATATATACAAGCATTGTACCTAGGGTGGATGCATTCCTCCTCTTACTTTCGGGAATGTCCTACTCTGTCTATGGTGTAGCTGTTCTTTCACTACTTTACTTTTTTTTGAGACGAAGTTTCATTCTTCTTGCCCAGGCTGGACTGCAACGGCTGGACTTGCTCGGGTCACCGCAATCTCCGCCTCCTGGGTTCAAGTGATTCTCCGGCCTCAGCCTCCCAAGTAGCTGGGATTACAGGCATGCACCACCATGCCCAGCTAATTTTGTATTTTTACTAGAGACGGGGTTTCTCCACATTGGTCAGGCTGGTTTCGAACTCCCGACCTCAGGTGATCTGCCCACCTTGGCCTCCCAAAGTGCTGGGATTATAGGCGTGAGCCACCACACCGGGCTCACTACTTTACTTGCTTAATAAACTTGCTTTTACTTTGCACTATGGACTCGCCCTGAATTCTTTCTTTCACAAGATCCAAGAACCCTCTCTTGGGGCCTGGATGGGGACCCCTGTCCTGTAACATATTTCTGGTGACCACAAAGGGACAGCAGGCATTTTTGGGTGGAGCAGAACCTCCTTCTGTCAGCTATGAAGGTTCAGATGTGTCGGTCATTTCTCCCTCTAGTCCACCTGAAAACTCTATTGAGAACGCTTCATCCCCTCCTTCTTACCCGTCTAGTCCCACTCTGTACCCACCACTCCCTGAGGAACTTAGTCCAGCAAGTACCACTCATATTGGAGCCTCCTATCAACCTCCAGTGGGAAACCTTTATCCACTTAGAGAGGTGGCAAATGGGGAAGAAGGCACTGTGAGAGCACATGTTCCCTTTTCTATGTCTGATTTGGCTCTATGCAAAGAGAAGTTTGGTCTTTTCTCTGAAGATCCAGGACAATTCATAGATGAGTTGGAGAAATTAACTCCAACCTATAGTTTAACTTGGCAGGATCTGCATGTCTTTTTGTCTCTGTGTTGTTTAGTGGAAGAGAAACAACACATTTTGGGGACAGCTAGGACCCATGCAGACGAGGTATTGGCTCACAACCCAAACCATTATATATATCAGGCAGGAGGTATAGCAGTTCCAGATCAAGATCCAAAGTGGAACTATCAAAGGGGCAGTGAGGACTTGGGGAGGAAAGATCATATGGTCACTTGTTTGTTGAAAGGGATGAAGAAAGGTATGAAAAAGCCTGTTAACTCTGAAAAGGTTAAGGAAGTTTCTCAGGGTAAAGATGAGAATCCAGTTTTGTTTCAAGGGCGTTTCATTGAGGCTATCAGAAACTACAGTAACACTGATCCTGCCTCAAGGGAAGGACAAACCCTTTTCGGAGTACATTTTATAACCCATTCTGCCCCTGATACCCGTAGGAAACTACAAAAAGCAGCTATGGGTCCCCAAATTCCTATGGAACAGCTTTTGGATATGGCATTTTTAGTTTTTTGTTTTTTGTGGGTTTTTTTGAGATGCAGCCTTGCTCTGTTGCCCAGGCTGGAGTGCAGTGGCACGATCTCAGCTCACAGCAAGCTCTGCCTCCTGGGTTCATGCCATTCTGCTGCCTCAGCCTCCTGAGTAGCTGGGATTACAGGTGCCCGCTACCATGCCCAGCTAATTTTTTGTATTTTTACTAGAGACAGGGTTTCACCATTTTAGCCAGAATGGTCTCGATCTCCTGACCTCGTGATCTGCCCGCCTCGGCCTCCCAAAGTGCTGGGATTACAGGTGTGAGCCACCGCACCCAGCCTGGCATTTTTAGTTTTTAATAACGGACAAAGCAGAGGAAGCAGAAAGAGCAAGAAGGACCTCCCACAAGGTGTAGCTCTTGGCTGCAGCCTTAAGCTCACCTCCCACATGGGATTGCTTTCCTTGCTCTTGGACTGAACAAGGGAAGCAGAAAGGCAGGAAGCCCAAAGCTGGGTGTTCCAGTCACTGTGTCTTGGGCATGAATCAGTGTGCACACCGTAAGAAAACTGGCCATTGGAAGAGGGACTGCCCACCGCACTGGAAGGAGCTATCCGCGCCCGAACCAATGATGGCTGAAATAGCCAGGCAAGGCCAGGCGCGGTGGCTCATGCCTGTAATCCCAGCACTTTGGGAGGCCAAGGTGGGTGGATCACCTGAGGTCAAGAGTTCGAGACCAGCCTGGCCAACATGGTGAAACCACCTCTCTACTAAAAACACAAAAAGTAGCCGGGCATAGTGACACATGCCTGTAATCCTGGCTACTCGGGAGGCTGAGTCAGGAGAATCTCTTGAAACCGGGAGGCGGAGGTTGCAGTGAGCTGAGATGGTGCCACTGCACTCCAGCCTGGGCAACAGAGTGAGACTCTGAGAAAGAAAAGGAAAAGAAAAGAAAAGAAAGGAGGGAGGGAGGGAGGGAAGGAAGGAAGGAAGAAAGAAAGAAAGGAAAGAGAGAGAGAGAGAAAGAAAGAAAGAGAAAAAGAAAGAAAGAAAGGAACCACGAAATAGCCAGGCAAGTCCAGGAGTGACAGGGCCAAAACCTTCCGCCACAGCTCCCATCAGACAACTAGCCATATCTCTGGAGGAGCCTTGGGAACCCTTGACTTTGGCAGGTAAGAATATTAACTTCCTTCTGGGCTGCTTATTCTGTTTTGTCCCATTATAATGGGCCTCTGTCACCCCAAAACTGTATGATCACAGGGTAGATGGACAAGCCCATAGAGAGCATTTTACCTATCATCTAAGCTGTTCTTCAGGGACTTTGGTTTCCTCACACACCTTTCTTATCAGGCCTGGATGCTTCAGGACAGTTGCAGCAACTGCTCTTTTAGTAGATGAAACCAATAAACTGGCTTTAGGACAACATCTGGAGGTTTTAACCCCACACCAAGTACAAGGAGTCCTAGAAGCTAAAGGACACCAGTGGATGACGAGGACACTTACGGAAATATCAGGCTTTGTTGTTAGACACTCCTGATGTAACACTTAAAAGTATGCCAGACTTGGAATCCAAACTCATCTTTGGAGAAATACACAGACCTGTCTCCTGTGTCCTTAAGCTTAGCAAAATAAACTTCTAAATTGATTGAGACTTGTCTCAAATACTTTTTGGTTCATACTTTCTTTATATGTCCCCTATTTACTCATTTCTTTTACTTCATTTCATAAATAATCTTTAAATAACCTTTGAATTAGACAAAAATTATTTTATTTATTATTTATTTATTTATTTATTTTGAGATGGAGTCTTGCTCTGTTGCCCAGGCTGGAGTGCAGTGGCGCGATCTTGGCTCACTGCAACCTCCACCTCCTGGGTTCATGCCATTCTCCTGCCTCAGCCTCCTGAGTAGCTGGGACTACAGGCGCCCGCCACCACACCCGGCTAATTTTTTTTTATATTTTTAGTAGAGACGGGGTTTCACTGTGTTAGCCAGGCTGGTCTCGATCTCCTGACCTCGTGATCCGCCCGCCTTGGCCTCCCAAAGTGCTGGGATTACAGGCTTGAGCCACTGCACCTGGCTATTTTTCTTCAAATAAGAACACTTCTTTTTAGAAAAACGTTTTCCATTGAGCCTGGCGCGGTGGCTCACACCTGTAATCCCAGCACTTTGGGAGGCTGAGGCGGGCCGATCACCTGAGGTCAGGAGTTCAAGACCAGCCTGGGCAACATGGTGAATCCCCGTCTCTACTAAAAATACAAAAAATTAGCCGGGCGTGGTGGCATATGCCTGTAGTCCCAGCTACTCAGGAGGCTGAGGCAGGAGGATTGCTTGAACCCAGGAGGCAGAGGTTGTAGTGAGCTGAGATTGCGCCACTATACTCCAGCCTGGGCAACAGAGCGAAACTCCATCTCAAAAAAAAAAAAAAAGAACCTTAAAATTACATAAATGGGTTTTATTTCTATTTTTACCAATAACTCAGAACATGATGATCTCTTCTTTTTTTTTTTTTTTTTTTTTTTTTTGAGACAAAGTCTCACTCTTTCGCCAGGCTGAAGTGCAGTGGTGTGATCTCGGCTCACTGCAACCTCTGCCTCCTGGGTTGAAGGGATTCTCATGCCTCAGCCTCCCAAGTTGCTAGGATTACAGGCGGCCGCCACCACGCCCGGCTTTTTTTTTTTTTTTTTTTTTAGTAGAGACAAGGTTTCACTATGTTGGCCAGGATGGTCTCTATCTCCTGACCTCAGGCGATCCACCCGCCTCAGCCTCCCAAAGTGCTGGGATTACAGGCATGAGCCACCACCCCTGGCCAAACATGATGACCTCTGAGCTCACTGTGTATGTGCTGTGTGTATATCTCCTTCTGCCTGCCCATGTCAGAGGTGGCTGTGACTTGCGTACTCTCCCAATCATATTTCCCCTCCACCTCTTCCCTCATACTGTCATGTCATTTTACTCACGTGATATGACTGGCTTCCTCCACATCATGTGACTGTAAAGCTAACATTTGCATTTTAAAGCCTTTATTTTTTAAGAGCAGTATTAGATTCACAGTAAAATTGAACAGAAGGTACAGAGAGTTCTCATATGCCTCCTGCCCCCACGCATGCACAGCCTTCCCCACTGTCCATATCCCCAGCAGAGTGGTGCATTTGTCACAGTGGATGACCCCACCCGGGCATATCATTGATCACTGAGTCCATAGTTTGCATGAGGCTCAGTCCTGGTGTTGGACAGTCTATGGGTTTGGACAAATGTATAATGACATACATCGTCCACCATTTTAGCATTACACAGTATTTTCACTGCCCTAAAAGTCCTCTGTGTTCTGCCTATTCATCCATTCTTCCACCTCACCTCGCTTTAGCCCCCGGAAGCCACTGATCTTTTTTTTTTTTTTTTGAGATAGTCTCCCTCCTGTCCCACAGGCCGGAGTGCAGTGGTGCGATCTCGGCTCACTGCAGCCTCCACCACCTGGGTTCAAGGGATTTTCCTTCTTTAGCCTCTCGAGTAACTGGGATTACAGGTGTGTGCCACCACGCCCAGCTAATTTTTGTATTTTTACTAGAGATGGAGTTTTGCCATGTTGGCCAGGCTGGTCTCAAACTCCTGACCTCAGGTGATCCACCCACCTTGGCCTCCCAAAGTGCTAGGATTACAGGCATGAGCCACCACGCCCGGCCCACTGATATTTTACTGTCCCCATAATTTATGCCATTTCCAGAATGTCATATAGTTGGAATAATACATTATGTAGGCTTTTCAGATTGTCTTCTTTCACTTAGTAATGTGCACTTAAGTTTCCTTGGTCAGGAGTGGTGGTCCACGCTTGTAATCCCAGCACTTTGGGAGACTGAGGTGGGGAGATTTCTTGAACCCAGGAGTTCAAGACTAACCTGGGCAAGATAGTGAGGCCCAGTTTCTACCAAAAAATTTTTTTTTTTAAATTATGTGGGCATGGTGGCAAATCTGTAGTCCCAGCTACTTGGGAGGTTGAACCAGAAGGACTGCTTGTGTCCAGGAGGTTGAGGCTGCAGTGAGATGTCATGGCACCACTGCACTCCAGCTTGGGTGACAGAGCAAGACCCTGTCTAAAAAAAAAAAAAATGCTTCTATGTCTTTTGTTTTTAGCACTAAATAACATTACATTGGATTTTCCACAGGAACTTATCCATTCACCTACTGAAAGACATCTTGGTTGCTTCCAAGTTTTGGCAATTATGAATAAATGAATACACATCCATGTGCAGGTTTTTGTGTGACACAAATTTTCAACTCCTTTGGGTGAATACCAAGGAGTACAATTGTATGAATTGTATGGTAAGGGTATGTTTAGTTCAGTATGAAACTGCCAAACTGTCTTCCAAAGTGGCTGTGCCATTTTACATTCCCATCAACAATGAATGAGAGTTAATGTTGCTCCACATCCTCGTCAGCACTTGGGCCATTCTAATAGGTGTCCAGTGGTATCTCATTGTTTTAATTTGCATTCCCCTGATGATAGATGATAGGAAGGATCTTTCTTCTGCTTGATTTGCTGTCTGTAGACCTTCTTTGCTAAGGTGTCTATTAAGGTCTTTAGCCCACTTTTTTTTTTTTTTTTTTTTTGAGACAAGGTCTCGCTCTGTCACCCAGGCTGGAGTGCAGGGGCACTCATTGCAACCTCCAGCTTCCAGGCTCACAAGATCCTCCCACCTCAGCCTCCCCAGTAGCTGGGACTACAGGTGCATGCCACCACACCCAGCTACATATATATCTATATATATATATATATAGTTGTTTTTGTTGTTTGTTTGTTTGTTTTTGAGACAGAGTCTTGCTCTGTCGCCAAGGCTGGATGCAGTGGTGTGATCTAAGCTCACTGCAACCTCCGCCTCCCAGGTTCAAGCGATTCTCCTGCCTCAGCCTCCTGAGTAGCTGGGATTACAGACACATGCCACCACGTCCAGCTAATTTTTGTATTTTTAGTAGAGAGGAGGTTTCACCACGTTTGCCAAGCTAGTCTCGAACTCCTGACCTCAAGTGATCCGCCCACCTCGGCTTCCCAAAGTGCTGGGATTACAGGCGTGAGCCACTGTGCCCAGCTAATTTTTGTATTTTTTGTAGAGATGGGGTTTCACCATGTTGCCCAGGTTGGTCTCAAACTCCTAGGCTCAAGTGATCCTCCTGCCTCAGCCTCCCAAAATGCTGGGATTATAGGCATAAGCCACTGTGCCCAGCTAGCTAACTTTTGTTTTGAGACAGAATCTCACTATGTTGCCCAGGCTGGAGTGCAGTGGTGATTCATAGGCACTATCCCACTACTGATCAGCACAGGAGTTTTGACCTGCTCCATTTCTGACGTGGGCCTATTCACCCCACCTAAGGCAGCATAGTGGTCTCTGGCTTCTAACAGGGCATCACATTTTTTTTTTTTTTTTTTTTTTTTTTGAGACAGAGTCTAGCTCTTGTTGCCCAGGCTGGAGTGCAATGGCGTGATCTCGGCTCACCGCAACCTCCGCCTCCCAGGTTCAAGCAATTCTCCTGCCTCAGCCTCCTTAGTAGCTGGGCCTACAGGCTTGCACCATTATACTCGGCCAATATTTTGTATTTTTTGTAGAGATAGGGTTTCACCATGTTGGCCAGGCTGGTCTTGAACTCCTGGCCTCAGGTGATCTTCCCACCTTGGCCTCCCAAAGTGCTGGGATTACAGGCATGAGCCACCGCGCTGGAGTGCAGTGGCACAATCTTGGCTCACTCAACCTCTGCTTCCTGGGTTCAAGTGATTCTCCTGTCGCAGCCTCCTGAGTAGCTGGGACTACAGGCACGTGGCACCACGCCCAGCTAATTTTTGTATTTTTAGTAGAGATGGGATTTCACCATATTGGCCAGAATGATCTCAATCTTTTGACCTCGTGATCTGCCCATTTCGGCCTCCCACAGTGCTGGGATTACAGGCGTGAGCCACCACGCCCGGCCTTATTTTATTTATTTTTTACTGTGTCCCAGGTTTCTTTAAGAACAAAGTGATACATGATGTAGGGATTAAAAGCAAAAGCATCATTGAACTTCACCTTCCCTCCAACCAGTTGTCCCAAAATCCCCTGCCCCCACCCTTTGTGTGCCCAATTCCTTCCTTAGTGAATGAGGAACTTAAGCCCAAAAGCCCTGGCACAAACTCCAGGTTCTCCTCCCCTAGCTTCTTCCCTTCCTCTGTCCCCCATTCCTAGAAGGGCAGGCACCTCAGTTTCAATTCATGGCAGGGCCAAGTGGCAACAGAGACGGGGTAAAGGCTTCCCCTCGCAGCATAGTGAAGTGGGGGCTCCCATAGCCTGGGGTATCAAAATGGGGCCCTGGGGCCGGAGGAAAGAACACTGGCCCCCTGATAAGGGAGACCCAGCAGCCTGAAAATCCTCTCGTAGTGCATAGTCATTGCTTCATCACTTACCCTTCTGGCGCCAGTTACAGAACCACACTGGGGCCACATCCTCTCCAGCCCAACCTGGAGATCTGCTGCAGTGTGGGTTTGTGGGCGCACTGGCTGATGTGGCTGATCTGCTGGGCAATGTGGCTAATCTGCTGTAGTGTGGGTTTCAGGCACTGCAGGAACAAGTTCTCCAGCTTGCCTCTCACTCGGTTCTTCTTCTTTTTTTTTTTTTTTTTTTTTTTGAGATGGAGTCTCGCTCTGTCGCCCAGGCTGGAGTGCAGTGGCGCGATCTCTGCTCACTGCAAGCTCCGCCTTCCGGGTTCAGGCAATTCTCCCGCCTCAGCCTCCTGAGTAGCTGGGACTACAGGTGCCCGTGACCACACCCGGCTAATTTTTTTTTGTATTTTTAGTAGAGACAGGGTTTCACTTTGTCAGCCAGGATGGTCTCGATCTCCTGACTTCGTGATCCTCCCGCCTCGGCCTCCCAAAGTGCTGGGATTACAGGTGTGAGCCACCGCGACTGGCCCGGGTTCTTGTTCTTTCGGCCTGCCTGAGGGTCTCTGCTTTGCATATCTCCTGAAGCTCTTCATTGTTGGCTGCTTCCTCCACCCACTTCTGCAGCAAGGGAGGCAGCTTACACATGTTCTTGAAACTGAGCTGCAGAGCCTCAAAGCAGCTGATGGTCATTTGGCTGAACACCTTCCCAAATAGAACCCCCCAGAGGCTGGGCATGGTGACTCACTTCTGTAATCCTAGCACTTTGGGAGGCCAAGGTGGGAAGTCAGAAGTTCAAGACCAGCCTGGCCTGTAACATGGAGAAACCCCGTCTCTACTAAAAATACAAAAATTAGCTGGGCATAGTGGCACATGCATGTAATCCCAGCTACTTGGGAGGCTGAGGCACGAGAATCGCTTGAACCCAGGAGGCAGAGTGAAACGCCTAACCTTGTTTTTACTCTAACTCGTTACTTTGAATTTTATCCTGCTTGTCTCTTTAATCACCTAGCCTTGCTTCTCATGTAAATAAGACTCTCTCTAGCTGGGAAAGCCAGACAAACTCCAATTGACCCCTTAATTTACAAGATACTAAGGGCTCCTTACCCAACCCCCTTCCGCAAGGAGTTAACCTGTGTAAGCAGATCCTCAGCATTTCAAAGTAGCCCAATTAACTGATAAGGTACTAGCACCAACAATGTATGAAGTTCCCAGGATTTTTCTCAAAGAGATAACAACATAAAGCCTTGAGTTCCTGTCCGGCATACCCCCTATATCTAATTATAATAAAGGTTTAAAGCCTTGCACCTGGTACCGTTGCTCTTCTTGTAACCATTTGTCTTTTAAATTGTTTATCTCTTTGTAACCATTTTTTTTTTATTCTTGCATGTTTTTACTTCTGTAGAATTATTGCATTTGAGTTCCCCTCCCCTTCCTAAACCTAGGTATAAAAGTTAATCAACCCCCTTCCTCGGGGCCAAGAGAATTTTGAGCGTTAGCCGTCTCTTTGGCCGCCGGCTTAATAAAGGACTCTTAAATCGTCTCAAAGTGTGGCGTTCTCTCTAACACCCCTGGGCACAACAAGAGGTTGTGGTGAGCGAAGGTCACGCCACTGCACTCCAGCCTGGGCAACAGAGTGAGACCCTGTCTCAAAAATAAATAAACAAATAAATAAACATTTAAAAAAAGAGCCCCCAGGGTGAGCCCCACACGGGCCTGGATATATCCCAGGGTGATCCTCTTCTGCTTCAGGAGCTTGGCAAATTACAGAGCTTTGATGTCCTGGGACTCGTTGAGGTTTTGCTCCAGCTTCTCCTTCTCTAGCTTCATGGCACCAGCTGGGGCAGTGCAAGGCTCCAGGGAGGCCCCTCACAGTTGCTCTCCACCCAGGCTCCTGCCTCGCCCTCAGGCTGAGAGGTCTTCAAGCCACCTTGGGGCACTAGCCCCACTGCAACCGGAGACCCAGAGTATACCATCTGCCCACGGAACTCATGCAGTGGGGGGCACGGGAGAAACCCCCACATCTCAGAGCCTGGCCCAACACCCGGCCCAATTCCTGCCTTGGAAGCTTAGCCAAGTCCAGCTCCCGCCCCGCTGACCCATTACCTCCACCACCTGGAAGGGGCAAGAAGGTGAAATCCAAAGCCAGGTGTCCCACCATGGGGAAGGAAGGCTCCCCAAGCCAGGGATCTGGTGAAATGAGGCAAAAAGTTTTTAAATTTTAAAAAAAGTTGTTTTAGAAATGAGGTCTTGCTATGTTGCCCAGGCTGGAGTGCAGTGGCTATTCACAGGCATGATCATGGCTCATTACAGCCTGGAACTCCTGGGCTCAAGCGATCCTCCTGCCTCAGCCTTCTGAGTAGCTGGGACTACAGGCATGTGCCACTGTGACCTTCTTAAGGCTTTTGAAATTTTAAAAAGAAAAAGAGTCTGCATTCCTGACAACACACCAATGCCCCATACAAGACTCAGATGTGCCTGCCCTTATTGCTACTTATTGCTTGAGACAGATTAACCCTTGTCTGTTTAAGCCACTATAGAAGGCTACATTGTTATTTGCAATGTAATTTGCATTGTTATTTGCACTATAGAAGGCTACATTGTTATTTGCAGCCACAGTCATAATTATAATTATATGTGATAAATCTTGGAGCTTATTCTACAACAGTACTACTTTATTTTGTAGGAGGGGCTGCATAGAATTCCTGTTAAACAAATGTGTCTTTTTTTTTTTTTTGAGATGTGGTGTCACTCTGTCACCCAGGTTGGAGTGCAGTAGTGCGATCTCCACTCACTGCAACCTCTGCCTCTGCAGCTCAAGTGATCCTCCTGCCTCAGCCTCCTGAGTAGCTGGGACTACAGGTGCCTGCCACCACGCCCAGCTCATTTTTGTATTTTTTGTAGAGACAGCGTTTCACCATGTTGCTCAGGCTTGATGTGTCATTTTTCAAAAATCAAGCCAGTCCCCTATTTATGAACAATTAGTTTGCTTCCATGCTTTTGCCATTCAAACAGCCCTCAACTGTACCTCTTTCTACGTTTGTCTGTGCACATGGGGGAATACATATGTAAGATAGTTTCCTTGGCCCTGAAGTGCTTAATCAAAGGATTGGTACAAAGGATTAATGTTACATTAACAGATATGCCAGCTTGCCTCCTCATGGAGTTGTAAAAATGTACACTCCCACTTGTAGGTATCACAGCCTGCTTTCCCCAGCCTTGCAAACAGTGTCCCATCACAAGTCATTCTGAATGCTAGTATAGGACACCAAATCTCTCTTTCCTCCTAACAACCTGGCTAGGCAGCCAGGACAGGGATTCCTATTTACTACACTCTGGTTTTATAGGTAAGTAAACAGATTCCCAAGGATAAGGAACCTACTTTTCCCAACCTCAACCTGAATTTCTGGGATTAATACCTTCTAAGAATAGATATGAATGTGTAGTGTTGTAGCAGTAGCAGTAGTATTTAATAGTAGTAGTAGTAGTGTAGTACCATCATCCCCATTCCCCATTCCTCAAGCTGGAAGCCATTCTTTTCTTCACTTCTGGTGGAGATGGGGACAAAAGCTTTGTTTCTTTTTTTTTTTTTTGAGACGGAGTCTCGCTCTGCCACCCACGTTGGAGTACAGTGGCAGGATCTCGGCTCACTGCAACCTCCACCTCCCGGGTTCAAGCAATTTTCCTGCCTCAGCCTCCAAATTAGCTGGGATTACAGGCCTGCAACACCATGCCCAGTTAATTTTTGTTTTGTTTTGTTTTGTTTTTTGAGACAGAGTCTGGCTCTGTCGCCCAGGCTGGAGTGGAGTAGCACGATCTCAGCTCACTGCAACCTCCATCCCCCTAGTTCAAGCGATTCTCCTGCCTCAGCCTCCTGAGTAACTGGGATTACAGGTATGTGCCACTAAGCACAGCTAATTTTTTTTTTTTTTTTTAGATGGAGTTTTACTCTTGTTGTCCAGGCTGGAGTGCAATGGCGCAATCTCAGCTCACTGCAACCTCCACCTCCTGGGTTCAAGTGATTCTCCTGACTCAGCCTCCTGAGTAGCTGGGATTACAGGCATGCACCACCATGGCCGGCTAATTTTGTATTTTTAGTAGAGATGGGGTTTCTCCATGTTGGCCAGGCTGGTATAAAACTCCTGACCTCAGGTAATCCGCCCGCCTCAGCCTCCCAAAGTGCTGGGATTACAGGTGTGAGCCACTGCTCCCGACCCATTTTTTCTTTTTTCTTTTTTCTTTTTTTGTATTTTTAGTAGAGATGGGGTTTCACCATGTTGGCCAGGCTGGCCTAGAACTTCTGACCTCAATTGATTCTCCCATCTTGCCCTCCCAAAGTGCTGGGATTACAGGTGTGAGCCACTGCACCTGCCCAAGAGCTTTGTTTCTATCCTTTCTAGTCCATTCCCTCATAATTTCTGAGCCCCAATCCTTCCCTTCTTCCAACCCTCTTCTCTTTGTTTTCCTACTAGGCCTGCCTTTGCGAAGTCCCACTGTAGATCATAAGGAGGCTGCAAGAACTGATGAGTGGTCCATTTCCTTGCAACCTCTAGAAGCCGGAATATACTTCAGGCAGGGCCTTGTTACCAGAGACAATGTGTAGCAGTTAAGGCCAGAGCCTTCCACTCCACACCACCCAGGAATTGCTATGGCTGTTCTGTGACCTTGGCCAAGTTACTTCTGCTTTCTTCACT
The DNA here is from genome assembly GCF_000001405.40 of Homo sapiens. Lineage (NCBI taxonomy): Eukaryota > Metazoa > Chordata > Mammalia > Primates > Hominidae > Homo > Homo sapiens. The sequence goes on from NC_000003.12 coordinate 128,679,539, forward strand.
GTCCTTATTTGTCAAATGGGAATGCTAGTACTAATCACCTCACAGAGTTGTAGTAAAAACTGCAGGCTGGTGTAGTGGCTCACATCTGTAATACCAGCACTAAGGGAGGCAGAGGTGCGAAGATAGCCTGAGGCCAGGAGTTGGAGACCAGCCTGGCTAATACAGAGAGAACCCCATCTACACACATGCACCTGTGACTGTAAAGACTACGTGACTGTTGCTACTACATTATTATTATTATTAACAGAGGACACTATTAAGAATCCAGCATTGTAATCTGAATACTCATTTTAATCCTTCCAACGATCCCCCAGATCGTTGTCTCATTTCACGAAAGAAAAGGAGCCTCTAATCCCATCCCTACCAGGGTTTGGCAAAGTGGGCAAGTGAGAGGCTCAACCATGAGCTTCAGTTCCTCCTCTGTAAATGGTAACAATGGCACTGTCACAAAGAGGACCAAGTGAGACCACAGGAGGCCCGTGTGTGTGCGTGTGTGTGTGTATGTGCCAGAGACAGAAAGAGAGAGAGAGACAAAGTTTCACTCTTGCTGCCCAGGCTGGAGTGCAATGGTGCAATCTCAGCTCACCGCAACCTCCACCTCCTGGGTTCAAGCAATTCTCCTGCCTCAGCCTCCTGAGTAGCTGGGATTACAGGCATGCGCCATCATGCCCAGCTAATTTTGTATTTTTAGTAGAGATGGGTGAGTTCTCCATGTTGATGAAGCTGGTCTCGAACTCCCGACCTCAGATGATCCGCCTGCCTCGGCCTCCCAAAGTACTGGGATTACAGGTGTAAGCCACCCAGCCCGGGCTTTTTTTTGGGGGGGGACGAGTGTCCCTCTGTTGCACAGGCTGGAGTGAAGTGGCACGATCTCGGCTCACTGCAACCTCTGCCTCCTGGGTTCAAGCAATTCTCCTGCCTCAGGCTTCCAAGTAGCTGGGACTACAGACGCCACCACGCTGGCTAATTTTTGTATTTTTAGTAGAGACGGGGTTTCGCCATGTTGGCCAGGCTGGTCTCGAACCCCTGACCTCGTGGTCCGCCCGCCTCGGCCTCCCAAAGTGCTGGGATTACATGCTTGAGCCACCCCGCCGGCCGGCCGTTCTTAAACGCACGACTACTTCCCTAGCTTTCCAGCACCAAATCCAGCGGCCCCACCCGGCCACGCCCCCACGCCAGGCCATGACCCCCATATGGCTCACTGCGCAAGCTCACACCCAGTCCCAGGAAGCGAGCCCCACGTCGCCCCAGCTCTGCATTCACAGCCGCCAAGCGGTCCCGGAAGCCGAATGCCGGATAGGTCAAAGACAGCGCCGCTGCTCCGGCACTGCCGCCAGAGGGCGCGGAGTCGCCGTGTTGGCCTGCACCTCCCTTGTCACGTCAGCCGAACGGCTACGGCAATGGAGGATTTTGCCGTATGCGACGACAGGATGACTGCTTCCCCTGAAGCTTCACCAAACACGGAGAGGCTTTCCTGTCCCTGGGAGACGCGGTGATGTGACGCAGCGGTTGCAGCGAAGGTTTCTTGTAAAAGATGGCCGCTGCGGAGTTGCTAGGTGTCTCCTGGCAGGCGGCGGCCGCACCACAAGATGGCGGCCCGCCCCAGGGTCCCACACGCGGGGCTGCGGAGGCGGCGGCCCCGAGGGTCCCCGCCCCTTGCTGGCCCTGTCCCCGCGTGCGGGGCTGCGACCTGCCTTTGTGTGCGGGTGGAAGTGCGGGCCGCCTTGGGGCCGAGTTGCAACTTCGCGACACTCCACTGGAGTGCGATGAGACGATGAGATGTTACCTCCTAACACTTCGGGAGGTGGGCAGCATGGCAATTCCTAGTAACCTCAACGCGATTCACTCAGACTTCCTTTTTCCCATCCTGAGCCGCAAAACCAGGAACTGGTGAAATAAATCAGGCCATCTTTCAGAGGAATGGCCTGCCACCGTTAAAAAGAGCAAAGCTGCAGTTTATGTACTAATGTGGAACCAGCTCTGAGATAAATTAAGTGAAAGAAAGCAAAGCACAGGAAAATGTGTATAGATATGCCTTTGTGTTTTTAAACAAGAAGACCCACATAAATGAAGATATGAATGTGTAAGCATAGTATAGCGGTAATGGTAATAGCGATCGCCCAGCCTAAGGAAGGGAATGGAGAGATACGGAACAAGGATGGGAGGAGACAGTTTTCATCTAAGACCGTTGGGTTTTCTGAGCTTTGTACCATGGACAGGTGTTAATTTTAAATTTTTTGTAAATATTTAAATTATGGCTTAAAGACAAGTTCTTTTGTAAGGGTATAAGGGCAGACTAGCACATAGAAAAAAAAAGACTTTTTTAACCTGGAACCAAGACATTTGATAAACATTCATGAAACTCAATTTTCAAGGATAAAAATTTCAAGGTCAATACTGTAGTACTTACAGCAAAGAATGCCAATCATTGTGACAGCCTGAGCCCTCTTGAAAGCTAGTTTTTGTTGGCGGGGGGTCAGAAAATTTGGCCTGGGAAGCAGGAGGCACTCGACCTATTTGCTGATGCTGAATGCCTTTCTACTGTAAGCATACATAGTCTCAATGGCTTCTTCTGATTTTGGTATATCTTAGGCTTTTCGGGTTAATATCGAAAACAGTGGCAACATTGAGAGTTTGAGCCAAGTTCTGCCTTAGAATCATCCAGAAAGGTGTTTCCACTGCCTGAAAAATAAGTAGTAGCAGTTTCAGAATTGGCATTGAGTTTGGAAATCGCCTATTTGAACTTGAAAGAAGTGTTAGTCCTCCATCCTAAAGCAACAACCATACTGAGCCTTTACTAGTGTGCCAGGCACTGGAGAAGAGGGTATTCTTTTTTTTTTTTTTTTTTTTTTTTTCCTGAGACGGAGTTTCACTCTTGTTGCCCAGGCTGGAGTGCAATGGTGCGATCTCGGCTCACTGCAACGTCTGTCTCCTGGGTTCAAGTGATTCTCCTGCTTCAACCTCCCAAGTATCTGGGATTACAGGTGCATGCCACCACACCCAGCTAATTTTTTTTTTTTTGAGATGGAGTCTTGCTCTGTTGCCCAGGCTGGAGTGTAGTGGCATAATCATGGCTCACTGCAACCTCCATCTCCCAGGTTCAAGCGATTCTTCTGCCTCAGCCTCCCTAGTAGCTAGGACTACAGGCACGTGCCACCACGCCCAGCTAATTTTTGTATTTTTAGGGAGATGGGGTCTCATCATATTGGCCAGGCTGGTCTCGAACTCCTGACCTCGTGATCCGCCCACCTCGGCCTCCCAAAGTGCTGGGATTACAGGCGTGAGCCACTGCACCTGGCCACACCCCGCTAATTTTTGTATTTTATTTATTTATTTATTTTGAGATAGAGTTTTGCTCTTGTTGCTCAGGCTGGAGTGCAATGGCACGATCTCGGCTCACTACAACCTCTGCCTCCCAGGTTCAAGCGATTCTCTTGCCACACCTTCTCGAGTAGCTGGGATTACAGGCGTGTGCCACCATGCCTGGCTAATTTTGTATTTTTAGTAGAGACGCGGTTTCGCCACGTTGGCCAGGCTGGTCTGGAATTCCTGATCTCAGGTGATCCGCCCCCCTCGGCCTCCCCAAGTGCTGGGATTACAGGTGTGAGCCACTTCGCCAGGCCAAGAGGGCATTCTTACATGGGATAATTACACATAGCACTCTGGGTTGTTGAAGGCATTAAATATGCTAATAAAAGTTTAGCCAAGTTACCTACCTGTACTAAATGCTCAGTAAATATTAGCTATAATTGTTTCAGGGAATCCCTCAGTTGCTTGATAAAGTACATTTTTGCCTCTGAGACTTTTTGAGGACTTAAAAATATGCTAGTTCTGTAGAGCTCTTACTATTTTCATCATCTTAGAGGCCACGTGGAAAGAATTTAGATTCTTATTGTGGAGCCTACAGTAAGTTAATTAACCTTTCTTTTTTTTCCTTTTTCTTTTTGTGTGTGTGTGTGTGTGTGTGTGTGGTGTGTGTGTGTGTGTGTGTGTGTTGAGACAGAGTCTCACTCTGTCACCCAGGCTGGAGTGCAGTGGCTCAATCTTGGCTCACTGCAACCTCTGCCTCCTGGGTTGGAGCAATTCTCTTGCCTCAGCCTCCTGAATAGCTAGGATTACAGGTATGCACCACCAAACCAAGCTAATTTTTGTATGTTTAATAGAGATGGGGTTTCACCATGTCGGCCAGGCTGGTCTTGAACTCCTGACCTCAGGTGATCCACCTATCTTGGCCTCCCAGAGTGCTGGGATTACAGGCGTGAGCCACCATGTCTGGCCGTACTTAACCTTTCTTGGTTTCAGTCTCCACATAACTAAGGTGAGAATCACAAAACCTGTTTCATAGGGTCACTGTGAGAATAATAATTAGAATTAATATATGGAAAGCACTTTGTGCAGGGTATGCAGTAGGCACTTAATAAGTGGTGTTTAATTCTGTAATATCTCAACCTCAAAGGTAAAGAACTAATTAATACTGCCCTCAGGCAGAAGAGTTTCCCTGGTCAAGAGGCAGGAGTGGGTTGCTGCAGGGTGACAGTTAACACAGGAAGCCTACAGTGAGAAGTTGAAGGGATGGCAGGTCCACGGACCTCAGAGCCTTGGGCCTCAGGCTTCCTGTCTCTGTTGGGGAAAAGGCAAGGCCTCCACAGGAGGCGGATATGGTCTGCAGGCTATTGCCGAGATGCCTCTTTGCCAACAGCCACCTGCACTGTTTCATTTCACAGTTGCCTATAAACCACTGTTTCTGAGGCTCATCTTCATACTTTAATATGAAGTGGCTACTGCATACTTTTTTTTTTTTTTTTTTAAGACAACATCTTGCTCTGTCACCTAGGCTGGAGTGCAGTGGAGCAATCATGGCTCACTGCAGCCTTGGCCTCCTGGGCTCAAGCAACCTTCCCTAGTCTCAGCCTCTAAAGTAGCTGGGACTACAGGCATGTCCCCCTACACCTGGCTAATTTTGTATTTTTGGTGGAGTTGGGGGTTCGCCATGTTGGCCAGGCTGGCCTCAAACTCCTGGGCCCACTTCGGCCTCCCGGAGTGCTGGGATTATATGCATGAGCCACTGCACTCGGTCAGCCCTTCTGTCTTTTGATAGAAAATTCAACATTAGGCCAGGCGCAGTGGCTCAGGCCTGTAATCCCAACACTTTGAGAGGCCGAGGCAGGCGGATCACGAGGTCAGGAGATTGAGACCATCCTGGCTAACCCAGTGAAACCCCGTCTCTACCTAAAATACAAAAAATTAGCTGGGCGTGGTGTCAGGCACCTGTAGTCCCAGCTACTCGGGAGGCTGAGGCAGGAGAATGATGTGAACCTGGGAGGCGGAGGTTGCAGTGAGCCGAGATCACACCACTGCGCTCCAGCCTGGGCGACAGAGCGAGACTGTCTCAAAAAAATAATAATAAATAAAAATAAATAAAATAAAATTCAACATAAAATGCCTTAGCCAAGCATAGAGTTCAATTTTCTCATAATCGAGAAGTCCAGAGTGGTAAAATCACATCATGGAGCCATTGGGCCAATGTTACTTCTGTACTTTTGCCCAATCATCCTTACCCTGTGGGTATCATCCTCATTCTTGTCACCTCAGGGTCATAAGATGGCTGTTACCTCCTCTATCACATCCGCATTTCAGACAGGGTAGAAGGGAAGAGAAAATGGCAAACCATACTTGCCAGCTCAGTCAGCCCTTGTTTTTATGAACTTTTCAGGAAGCCCCACCCAGTAGCTTCTGCCTACACTTCATTACCTAGAACCATATTATATTACTTGGCCACTTCTCCCTCCAAGGAACACTGAGAAATGAAGTTCTTTATCTGGGCACATTGTTGTCCTGAACAAATCAGGGTTCTGTTAGAAGAACAAATTGGAGAGTAGATAGGTGAGCGATACAGTAAAATTTCATTAAACAACATTATTCACGTTTCCTAACTGCAGGTGATTTGCCTGCCTCGGCCTTCCAAAGTGCTGGGATTACAGGCGTGACCCACCGCGTGCGGCCGCAAGCTTCTTGACAGCTCTGTTTTGAGAAATCGTGGGGCACCCAGGTTCTGTCTGTCTGATTGCTTTGTAACCTCCAAGGAGTTGCCATCACCTAAATAGTCTAAAAATTGGTTGCCATCACATCCAATCCCAGCCAGTGTAAAGCTGGAAGAGAAGAAAAAAGGCATACCCCTCTTTTTTTTTTTTTTAAGATGGAGTCTTGCTCTGTCGCCCAGGCTGGAGTGCAGTGGCATGATTTCAGCTCACTGCAACCTCCACCTCCCGGGTTCAAGCAGTTCTCTGCCTCACCCTCCCAAGTAGCTGGGCTTCCAGGCACCCGCCACTATGCCCAGCTAATTTTTGTACTTTTAGTAGAGACGGTTTCACCATCGTGGCCAGGCTGGTCTTGAACTCTTGACCTCGTGATCCACCCGCCTCACCTTCCCACAGTGCTGGGATTACAGGCATGAGTCACTGCGCCTGGCCCCGGAGTTTCACTCTTGTTGCCCAGGCTGGAGTGCAATGGTGAGATCTCAGCTCACTGCAATCTCTGCCTCCTGGGTTCAAGTGATTCTCCTGCCTCAGCCTCCCAAGTAGCTGGGATTACAGGCATGTGCCACCACACCTGGCTAATTTTGTATTTTAGTAGAGATGGGGGTTTCTCCATATTGATCAGGCTGATCTCGAATTCCCGACCTCAGGTGATCTGCCCGCCTCGGCCTCCCGAAGTGCTGGGATTATAGGTGTGAGCCACCGTGCCCAGCCACATCTGCCTCATTTTTAAAAGTATGACCAAGAAGTTGCTCGTCCACTGGCCAGCATGTAAGGCTTTATTCTGCGCGTTCATATATTCAGATATAAATTGAAGGTCTTACTACAGAAAGAGAGGTCAAAATCTTTGCCTTAGCAGGCATGGTGGCTCACACCTGTAATCCCAGAACTTTGGGAGGTGGGAGGATTTTTTTGAGTTCAGGAGTTAGAGACCAGCCTGGACAACATGGCAAGATGCATCTCTACCAAAAATAAAAATAAAAACAAAAAGCCAGGCATGGCGGCACATACCTGTGGTCCCTTCTACCCTGCTACTGGGGAGGCTGAGCCAGGTGGATCCTTGAACCCAGGAGTTTGAACCTGCAGTAAGCTATGATTGCATCACCGCAGTTTAACTGGGCAACAGAGTGAAACCCTATCTCTATCATATTTTTTTACAAAGAAAAAAAATTGCTGGGCGTGGTGGCTCACGCCTGTAATCACAGCACTTAGGGAGGCTGAGGCGGGCGGATCACGAGGTCAAGAGATCGAGGCCATCCTGGCCAACATGGTGAAACCCTATCTCTCCTAAAAATACAAAAATTAGCTGGGCATGGTGGTGCGCGCCTATAGTCCCAGCTACTCCGGAGGCTGAGACAGGAGAATTGCTTGAACCCAGGAGGCGGAGGTAGCAGTGAGCCGAGATCGTGCCACTGCACTCCAGCCTGGTGACAGAGCGAGACTCCATCTCAAAAAACAAAAGAGAGAAAAAAAATTAGCTGGGTGCAGTGGTGCATGCCTATAGTCCCAGCTACTCAGGAAGCTGTGGTGGAAGGATTGCTTGAGCCTAGGAAGTTGAGGCTGTAGTGAGCCGTGATTGAGTCAATGCAGTCCAGCCAGGGTGACAGAGTGAGACCCTGTCTTAAAACAAAACAAAATCTTTGCCTTCCCAGAGTTTACATTTTCCTGGGGTGACACAATGAACAAACAAATACGTCAAGTGGTAGTAAATGTTAAGAAGAAGACAAAATCAGGATAAGGGGATAGAGATGCAGTTGATACTTTAGAGAAGATGGTCAGAAAAGACCTCATTGAGTTGGTGATACTTGATCTGGGACCCCAAGAGAAGAGTGCTTCTGGCAGAAAGAACAAGTATAAATTCCTCGACATGGGAATGTGCTTGGTATGGTTGAAGAAGAGCATGATGAGGCCAGATGCCTAAAATTGAATGAAATCAAAGAAGGCGTATGAACTAGATCATGTAGAGCCCCGTATGCTAGGATAAAGAGAGTGATTTATTTAAGTAAAATAAAGGTTACTTGGGGGGAAAATGAAAAAATAAATACATAATTTTAAAAGATAGTGGTTTTTTGTTTTGTTTTTTTGTTTTTATGAGACAGGGCCTATATTTGCCCTAGGCTGGAGTGCAGTGGTGCAATCTTGGCTCATTGCAATCTCTGATTCCAAGGCTCAAGCAGTCCTACCTCAGCCTCCTGAGTAGCTGAGACTACAGGCGTGTGCCATCATACCCAGATAATTCTTTTTGTATGTTTTTGTTTTTGTTTTTGTTTTTTTTTGAGACAGATTCTCGCTTTGTCACCCAGGCTGGAGTGCCATGGCACGATCTCGGCTCACTGCAGCCTCCACCTCCTGAGTTCAAAAGATTCTTCTGCCTCAGCCTCCCGAGTAGCTGGGACTACAGGTGCACGCCACCACGCCCAGCTAATTTTTGTATTTGTAGTAGAGACAGTTTCGCCATATTGTCCAGGCTGGTCTCAAACTCCTGACCTTGTGATCCACCCGCCTCGGCCTCCCAAAGTGCTGGGATTACAGGTATGAGCCACTGCGCCCAGCCTGTATTTTTAGTAAGAGATGGGGTTTCACCATGTTGCCCAGGCTGGTCTCAAACTCGGCTCAAGCGATCTGCCCCAGTCAGCCTCCCAGAGTGCTGGGATTATAGGCATGAGCCACCAGGCCTGGCCAAGATAGTGATTTTTTAAAATTTAGTTTTAATTTTTTTTAGAGATGAGGTCATACTATGTTGCCCAGGCTGGTCTCCAACTCCTGGGCTTACACAGTCTTCCCACCTCAGCCTCCTAAATCATTGGAATTACAGGCGTGAGCCACTGCGCCTGGCCTGGATAGTGATTTTTAAAAGATGAGAAACTTCAAACTTCTCAGCAGAGGGTGACATATCTGGATTTAGGTTTCTTAAAGACCACTCAAATAAGTTATAAAATCTACATATGTGGTGTTTTGATGTATACTGATCCACGTTTCCTGGCGCATACTCTATAGCGTTTGTTACAGTCTTTTGTTACAATGCTGGGTATGTTAGGCCTCACAGCAGGCCTCTGACCTTCTCCTGCCCTCCTTCCACTCTAATGTTCTCCACCTCTCTGATTGTGGGTCTTCAGACCCTCCCATGAGAAGGTCCCACCTTATATATACTCTGAAGGAGGAAGGAATGCTGATGGCAAGAAGCTTCCATAAAAATCCAAGATAGGCCGGGCGCGGTGGTTCACACCTCTAATCCCAGCACTTTGGGAGGCCAAGGCGGACAGATCACGAGGTCAGGAGATCGAGACCAGTCTGGCCAACATGGTGAAACCCCGTCTCTACTAAAAATACAAAAATTAGCCAGGCGTGGTGGCAGGCGCCTGTAATTCCAGCTACTCGGGAGGCTGAGGCAGGAGAACAGCGTGAACCTGGGAGGCGGAGATTGCAGTGAGCTGAGATCACACCACTGCACACTCCAGCCTGGGTGACAGAGCAAGACTCCATCTCAAAAAAAAAAAAAGATTCTGGAGTTCTGGTCTGGACTTGCCACTGGTGTTGGGGGAGAGGGTGGTCTTGGAGAATGAGCAATCAACCTGTGAGATCTGACACTATCAGATAGTGTCGGAACTGAATTAGAGGACACCTACCTGGTGTCCACTGCTTGATGTGTGGGGAAAACCCCCTACACATTTGGCCACAGAAGTCTTGATGTTGATGATTGTTGTCATGTGAGAGTAGAGGAAAGATGTGGTTTACAGGGTGTTTTCACTACACAATACACTCTCAAAGACATAAAAGTAAGAGCTGGCTAGGCGTGGTGGTTCACGCCTGTAATCCCAGCACTATGGGAGGCCGAGGCCGGTGGATCACCTGAGGTCAGGAGTTCAAGACCAGCCTGGCCAACATGGTGAAACTCTGTCTCTACTGAAAAAAAATAGCCAGGTGTTGTGATGTGCGCCTATAATCCCAGCTACTCGGGAGGCTGAGGCAGGAGAATCGCTTGAACCCAGGAGGCCGAGGTTGCAGTGAGCCAAAATCGCGCCACTGCACTCCAGCCTGGGCAGCAGAGCAAGACTCCGCCTGAAAAAAAAAAAATATAAGAGCTAAAACTATAAAAATCTTAGAAGCAAGGATGGAGGGAAAGCTTCATGATTTTGGATTTGGTGATGATTTTGTGGCTATGACACCACAGGCACAGGCAACAAAAGAAAAATAGACAAACTGGGGCCGGGTGTGGTGGCTCACGCACTTTGGGAGGCTGAGGCGGGTGAATCACCTGGGCTCAGGAGTTCGAGACCACCCATGGCAACATGGTGAAACCCCATCTCTACTAAAAATACAGAAAAATTAGCTGGGAATGGTGGCGTGCTCCTGTAGTCCCAGCTACTTAGGAGGCCAAGGCGAGAATCGCTTGAGCTCTGGAGGAGGAGGTTGCAGTGAGCCAAGATTGCATCACTGCACTCCAGCTTGGGCTACAGAGTGAGACTCTGTCTCAAAAAAAAAGACAAATTAGACCTCATTGAAATTAACTTTTGTGCATTGAAGGGTTGGAAAGCTTTGATACATTTCCTCACCAATCATAAAGGTCATGGCCAACATGCCTATGACAAAAGACAGAATTACAAGAGAAAATAATAACAAACTTATTTACAACATTTTACACAATACAGGAGCTTCTGGAAATGAAGACCTAAAGACCAAGGGAAAACTATTTGTATGCTTAGGTTGAATGAAGAATGGACAGCCATGTAGAAATATGATTGGACAAAAAGGGTGTGATCTAATAGTAATACACTGAGGGGAAGAAACCCAGTAAGGTTCAAATTCTTCTTGGTCTCTCAGTGTAGCATTTCTTTGCCCTAGGTATCGGCAGGACTCTTCTGGAATGAGGGTCTTCAAGGGAGAAGAGGAGAGTAACCTCGCTTTTTTTTTCTTTCTTTTTTTTTTTTTTTTGAGACAGTCTTGTTCTGTCATCTAGGCTGGAGTGCAGTGGCATAATCTCAGCTCACTGCAACCTCTGCCTCCTGGGTTCAAGCAATTCTCCTGCCTCAACCTCCCCTGCCTCAGCCTCCTGAGTAGCTGGGACTACAGGCGTGTGCCACCACGCCCAACTTTTTTTTTTTTTTTTTTTTTTTGTATTTTTAGTAGAGACGGGGTTTCACCATGTTGGCCAGGGTGGTGTCGAACTCCTGACTTCAGGTGATCCGCCCATCTCGGCCTCCCAAAGTGCTGGGATTACAGGAATGAGCCACCGTGCCCAGCCTAGACAGAGTAACTTTTCTAGGTTTTGTGGCTAGCTCTGGGGGAGTGGGATTCTAGTTACTACAACCTGCCTTGGGAAGAAGGGTTCTGATTCTCACTTCAGTGGAGAAAGAGGGATGGGAGATAGGAGGGCAGGAGAAGGTCAGAGAGAGACTTTGCTTCTGGAACCTTTCAGTCTCCTTTAGTTCAAAGCACTCAGCATGCTAAAGCAGCATACTTTGGGGTATCATTTTCTGAGCCTGAACAGCATCAAAGAAAAACAAAGGGTTCTGGTATATTTATGGGAGGCCATTGATTTGGTTTTTTTGTTTGTTTGTTTTATGAGACACGGTCTCACTCTGTTGCCCAGGCTGGCGTGTAGCGATGCCATCATGACTTACTGCAGTCTTGACCTCCTGGGCTCAAGCGATCTTACCACTTCATCCTCCCCGGTAATTGGGACTACTATTTTTTTGTAGAGAAGAGGTTTCATCATACTGCCCAGGCTATTGTTGAACTCCTGAGCTCAAGGGATCCTCCCACCTCGGCCCCTGAAAGTGCTAGAATTACAGGTGTGAGCCACAGTGCCTGGCCAAATGGAGGCCATTGATTTGTACTGAGCTCCTCCTACACTAGGCCCCTACAGGCTGACCCAAAATGGAGTCACTCATGCTAAGGTTCCATGTCACCAAACTGAAACCTAAGCTGTTTGCTTATAAGATCTGACCTTAGGGCTGGGCGTGGTGGCTCACGCCTGTAATCCCAGCACTTTGGGAGGCCGAGGCGGGTGGATCACTTGAGGTCAGGAGTTCGAGACCAGCCTGACCAACATGGTGAAACCCCATCTCTACTAAAAATACAAAAATTAGCTGGGTGTGGTAGTGCATGTCTGTAATCCCAGCTACTTGGGAGGCTGAGGCAGGAGAATTGCATGAACCCAGGAGGCAAACGTTGCCGTGAGCTGAGATCGTGCCACTGGACTCCAGCCTGCGCAACAGAGCAAAACTCTTGTCTAAAAAAAAAAAAAAAAATCTGACCTTCTGAGAAATCAGGAGAGAGGCAACAGTCAAATCCCCAATAGGTCAGTTTTACAAAAAAATAGATTCACAGCAACCAATCAAAAGGGGCCCATTCAACCTAAGCTGCTTGATAAGGAAGTCCCCTCTGCTTTAAGCCATGCAAGGAAAGTAACCCGAAGGAACCTAATGTTAACCAATCCACTTTTTTTTTTTTTTTGAGATGGAGTCTCGCTCTGTAGCCCAGGCTGGAGTGCAGTGGCGCAATCTCGGCTCACTGCAACCTCCGCCTTCCGGGTTCACGCCATTCTCCTGCCTCAGCCTCCCAAGTAGCTGGGACTACAGGCGCCCGCCACCAAGCCCGGCTCATTTTTTTTGTATTTTTAGTAGAGACGGGGTTTCACCATGTTAGCCAGGATGGTCTCGATCTCCTGACCTCGTGATCTGCCCTCCTTGGCCTCCCAAAGTGCTGGGATTACAGGCATGAGCCACCGCGCCCAGCCAACCAATCCACTTTTTCCACTATGCTGTTTCCTTGTTCCTGGTCAAGCTGCCTGCCTTAGAAAAACCTACTGCTCTGCCATGCCTGGTAGAGCTCCTGTCTATTTTGTAGGCTGGATGTTGCTCAGTTCATGAATCACCAATAAAAGCTAATTAGATCTTTATTTTTTTTACAGACAGTGTCTTGCTCTGTCACCCAGGCTACAGTGCAGTAGTGCAATCCTAGCTCACTGTAACCTTAAACTCCTAGGCTCTGGTGATCCCCCCACCCCGGCCTCCCAAAGTAAGGAGATTACAAGCATGAGATACCACATCTAGCCAAATCTTTAAAACTCAATGTGTTGAAATTGTGTTTTTGACACAACACACAGAATAGGAGAAAATATTTGTGAATCATATATCTGATAAGAGATTAATATCCAGAATGCATGCAGAACTCCTAAAACTCAACAACAGAAAACCCATTTTCAAAATAAGCAAGGGTTGCACAGCAATCTGAACATACTTAATATCTGTGTGAGATAGAGGAACAAACCTAAGTGATTTTTCCTACTCTTACCCAGTCACTCAACACTGCCAACAGCAGATATGCGGGGGTTATTTCCCCACACACCAAACATCGATTCTGCGGATTCCCCAGTAGACATCAGCTGGGTGTCCTCCAGTTCAGTTCTGACACCATCTACCTGGAGATAGTGTCAGATCCCACAGGTTGAGGGCTCTAGTCCCACAAGGCTGCCCCCCACTTCAGATGCTGCAAGCACGGGTCGTGGTCTGTGCTTCTGACCAATTGGCTATAAACTGGGGCTCCCAGGATTTATTTAATTGGCTAGTGTGGCTCACAAGACTCAGGGAACCACTTACTGATGTATACTGGTTTCTTATAAAGGATATTACAAAGAATACAGATGAACACTGTAATCCCAGCACTTTGGGAGGCTGAGCGAGGCAGGCAGATCACCTGAGGTCAGGAGTTGGAGATCAGCCTGGCCAACATGGCAAAACCCCGTCTCTACTAAAAACATAAAAATTAGCTGGGCATGGTGGCATGTGCCTGTAGTCCCAGCTACTCAGGAGGCTGAGGCATGAGAATCGCTTGAACCTGGGAGGTAGGGGTTGTGGTGAGGCAAAATTGTGCCACTGCACTGCAGCCTGGGCAACAGAGTGAGACTCTGTCACAAGCAAGCAAACAAACAAACAAAAAAACAGATGAACAGCCAGATGGACGAGATGCCCAGGAAGAGGTGTGGGGAAGATGCACAGAGTTTCTATGCCTTCTCTAGGCATGCCCCTCTCCAGGAATCTGCCTGTGCTCAGCTGTTGGGAAGCTCTTCTGAACCCTGTCCTTTTGGGTTTTTAGGGAGGCTTCATGACCTACACAACTGACTAAATCATTGGCCTTTGGTGATCAACTCAGCCTTCAGCTTCTCTCTCCTCCCCAAAGTCAGGGGGCTGCTGAAAGTTCCAACCATCTAATCACAGGTTGGTTCCCTTGTCAACCAGCTCCAATCCTGAGGATATCAGGGATCTGCCAAGAGTTCCCTCATTAGAACAAAAGAGCTCCGCTCCTGTCACCCAGGAAATTCCAACAGATTTAGGAACTCTGTGTCAGGAACCAGGGTCAAAGACCAAATGTTAGAACAAAAGATTGTCTTAGCACCCCTACTGCTTAGAAAATTACATGAGTATTAGGGGCTCTGTGCCAGCAACTGGGGCAGAGACCAATGTGTATATACATATATACGTGTGTATATATGTATGTATATATATGTGTGTGTATATATATATTATTTATTTTTTTGTTTTTGGAGATGGAGTCTCGCTCTGTCGCCCAGTGTGGAGTGCAATAGCGAGGTCTCGGCTCACTGCAACCTCTGCCTCCCAGGTTCAAGCTATTCTCCTGCCTCAGCATCCCAAGTTGCTGGGATTACAGGTGCCTGCCACCACGCCTCGCTAATTTTTGTATTTTTAGTAGAGATGGGGTTACACCATGTTGGCCAGGCTGGTCTCCAACTCCTGACCTCGTGATCTGCCTGCCTCGGCCTCCCAAAGTACTGGGACTACAGGCATGAGCCACTGTGCCCGGCCCTTTTTTATTTTATTTTATTTTATTTATTTATTTTTTTTTGAGACGGAGTCTTGCTCTGTTGCTCAGGCTGGAGTGCAGTGGCACAATCTCAGCTCACTGCAAGCTCCGCCTCCTAGGTTCACGCCATTCTCCTGCCTCAGCCTCCCGAGTAGGTGAGACTATGGGCACACGCCACCGAGCCAGGCTAATTTTTTCTATTTTTTAGTAGAGAGGGGGTTTCACCGTGTTAGCCAGGATGGTCTCGATCTCCTGACTTCATGATCCGCCCACCTCAGCCTCCCAAAGTGCTGGGATTACAGGCATGAGCCACTGCACCCAGCTGGCCCTTTTTTATTTTTTGAGACCGTCTCTCTCTGTCGCCCAGGCTGGAGTGCATTGGTGAGATCTCGGCTCACTGCAACCTCTGCTTCCTGGGTTCAAGCAATTCTCCCTGCCTCAGCCTCCCAAGTAGCTGGGATTACGGGCGCCCACCACCAAGCCTGTGTAATTTTTTTTTTTTTTTTTTTTGAGACAGAGTTTCACTCTTGTGGCCCATGCTGGAGGGCAGTGTCACAGATCGGCTCACTGCAACCTCTACCTTCTGGCTTCAAGCAATTCTCCTGCCTCACCCTCCCGAGTAGCTGGGATTATGGGCATGTGCCACCACCCCTGGCTAATTTTGTATTTTTAGTAGAGATGGGGTTTCACCATGTTGGCCAGGCTGGTCCTGAACTCCTAGCCTCAGGTGATCTGCCTGCCTCGGCCTCCCAAAGTGCTGGGATTACAGGCGTGAGCCATCATGCCTGCCTAATTTTTGTATTTTTAGTAGAGATGGGGTTTCGCCGTGTTGGCCAGGCTGGTCTTGAACTCCTAACCACAGGTGATCTGACTGCCTCAGCCTCCCAAAGTGCTAGGATTACAGGTGTAAGCCACGGCATCAGGCCAATATTTATTATTATCTTACAATGCCATTAAACAATACACTTAAACATTGTTGGCTGGGCACAGTGGCTCACATCTGTAATCCCAGCACTTTGGGAGGCCAAAGCAGGCAGATCACCTGAGGTCAGGAGTTTGAGACCAGCGTGGCCAACATGGTGAAACCTCATCTCTACTAAAAATACAAAAATTAGCTGGGCGTGGTGGCAAACACCTGTAATCCCACCTACCCAGGAAGCTGAGGCAGGAGAATCACTTGAACCCAGGAGGCGGGAGTAGCAGTGAGCTGAGATCACGCCAATGCACTCCAGCCTGGGTAATAAAGCGAGCCTCTGTCTCAAAAGAAAAAAAAAACTGTTAAGCCAGGTGTAGTGGCACATGCCTCTAGTTCCAGGTACTCAGGAGGCTGAAGCAGGAAGATTGTTTGAGCCCAGGAGTTCAAGACCAGCCTGGGCAACACAGCAAGACCCGCCTGGGCAACACAGCAAGACCCTGTCTCTTAAAAAAAAAAAAAAAAAAAAAAAAAAAAAAAAAAAAAAGCCAGGCATGGTGGCTCACGCCTGTAATCCCAGCACTCTGGGAGGCCGAGGCGGGTGGATCACCTGAGGTCAGGAGTTTGAGAGCAGCCTGGCTAACATGGTGAAACCCCATTTCTACTAAAAAAACAAAAAATTAGCCAGGCGTGGTGGCGCGATCCTGTAATTCCAGCTACTCGGGAGGCTGAGGCAGGAGAATTGCTTGAACCCGGGAGGCAGAGGTTGCAGTGAGCCGAGATCGCGCCATTGCACTCCAGCTTGGGCAACAAGAGCAAAACTCCATCTCAAAAAAACAAAAGAAAAAAAAGAAAAGAAAACCACACACAAACACACAAAAGTTAAAATTATAAATTTTGTTATGTGTATTTTACTACAATTTTTAGATCTTTTTTAAAGAACAGGCAAAGTACTTGAATAGATATTTCTTCAAAAAAGAAATACAAATAGCCAAAAGCTCATAAGAAGATATTCAACATCACTAATCATTAGGGAAATGCAAACCAAAATTCCACAATGAGGTATCACTTCACACCAATTGGGATGACTGTTACCAAAAAATCACAAAACAGGCCAGGTGCGGTGGCTCACGCCTGTAATCCCAGCACTTTGGGAGGCCAAGGCAGGTGGATCACTTGAGGTCAGGAGTTCAAGACCAGTCTGTCCAACATGGTGAAACCCTGTCTCTACAAAAATAAAAACATTAGCCAGGCATGATGGTGGGTGCCTCTAATCCTAGCTACTCGGGAGGCTGAGGCAGGAGAATTGCTTGAATCTGGGAGGCAAAGGTTGCAGTGAGTCAGGATCATGCCATTGCACTCCAGCCTGGGTGACAGAGCAAGATTCCATCTCAAAAAAAAAAAAAAAACCCACAAAACAGGCCAGGTGCAGTGGCTCACACCTGTAATTCCAGCACTTTGGGAGGCCGAGGCAGGAGGATTGCTTGAGCCCAGTTCGAGACTAGCTTAGGCAACACAGGGAGTCCCCATCTCTACAAAATAAAAAAAAATTAGTTGGGCATGGTCGAACATGCCTGTGGTCCCAGCTACATGGGGTCTGAGGTGGAGGGATCCCTTGAGCCCAGGAGGGTGAAGCTGCAGTGAACCCTGATCAGGCCACTGCACTCCAGCCTGGGGTAAAGAGCGATATCCTGTCTCAAAAAATAAAAAAGAAACTTTAAAAAACGTTTTTAAAAATTAAAATTTTAGCCAGGTGTGGTGGCTCACGCCTGTAATCCCAGCACTTTGGGAGGCCAAGGCGGGCGGATCACAAGATCAGGGGATCGAGACCATCCTGACTAATGTGGTGGAACCCCGTCTCTGCTAAAAATACAAAAAATTAGCCGGGCGTGGCGTGGTGGCACGCTCCTGGAGTCCCAACTGCTTGGGAGTCTGAGGCAGGAGAATCGCTTGAACCCAGGAGGCGGAGGTTGCAGTGAGTGGAGATCGTGCCATTGCACTCCAGCCTGGGCAACAGAGCGAGACTCTGTCTAAAAAAAAAAAAAAAAATTTAAAGATACCAGTCTGGGCAACAAAGTGAGACTCCATCTCTACATAAAATTAAAAAATAAAATAAAAAATTTAAAAAATACGAAAAGTAACCACAATAGAATACTGAATCTCCAAGAACACATCACCAGCTTCTATAACATAAACTAGTGGCCAATCTTGTTTCTTCACTGCCTGTGAGAACACAGGACTTCCTGTGTCCTCATTGTCCTCATTTATTCTGAAGCAAATCGCTTTTTTTCTTCTTCTTCTTTTTGAGACAGAGTCTCGCTCTGTCGCCAGGCTGGAGTCCAATGGCCCAATCTCGGCTCACTGCAACCTCCGTCTCACGGGTTCAAGAAATTCTCCTGCCTCAGCCTCCGGAGTAGCTGGGACTACAGGCGGCGCGCCACCATGCCTGGCTAATTTTTGTATTTTTAGTAGAGACGGGGTTTCACCATGTTGGCCAGGATGGTCTCGATCTCCTTACCCCGTGATCTGCCCGCCTCGGCCTTCCAAAGTACTGGGATTACAGGCGTAAACCACCGCGCCCGGCCTTTTTTTTTTTTTTTTTTTTTTTTTTTTTGAGACAGAGTCTTGCTTCGTCGCCCAGGCTGGAGTGCGCGATCTCGGCTCACTGCAACCTCCGCCTCCCGGGTTCAAACGATTCTTCTGCCTCAGCCTCCCGGGTAGCTGGGACTACAGGCTCGTGCCACCACGCCCAGCTAATTTTATATTTTTAGTAGAGACGGAGTTTCGCCATATTGGCCAGGTTGGTCTCGAACTCTCGACCTCGTGATCCGCCTGCCTCGGCCTCCCAAAGTTCTGGGATTACAGGCGTGAGCCACCACGCCCGGCCGCGAATCACATTTTTAAAAATTGCTGGAAGAACGCCCTTCCCCGCTCCCGCCTCGGTGACAAACAGGCTTCCCAGGGCCCAGAAGGCTGTACGCAGACGCCACCACCCTGGCCCCTGCACTCCTGCGTGAGCGACTTCCATTCGGGACGGCTCAGCCGCCCGCTACCGCAGCCTTCCCGCCTGGGTCTCCCACAGGCCTCCCGGGGCACCTAGAACTGCGTGCCTCACGCGGGCCCCGCTGGGCTCCTCACCCGCTCAGCCACTGCCACCTGCCTGGGACCCTCCCCCTGCGGAGCGGGATGTTTGGCGGGGAGAAATGCGGAGGGGAACCCTAGGCTGGCGGCTTTCCTCCTTCCGCAGAACCCACGGTCCTGATCTCCGGCCGCCTCCTTCTGACCCGGGGTTCTGGCCCCCTCCTCCCCCAGGACCTCAGCGCGGCACCCCACCCACCACCCCCCGCCCCCAACCCAGGCCAGCTGTCTCTTTTTCCTCAGGGGTCGGGCTCCCAGCCTCTGCCCTCCACAACCACCCGCCTGCCTCACCAGGGCCCAGCCTGGCCCCTGGGAGCGGCCACAGCGCCGAGCCGTTTTTCCCCCGACAACAGCAGCCCGGAGCCTGAGCTGCCATTCCCGTCCCGCTGGGGACCCAGCGTCGCTTGGGGAGGGCTGGCCGCAGGCTGCGGGGTGGAGGCTGCTCCAGCCGCCTAAGGGTGCCTGCAGAAGCTTCTCCCGGCGCCCTCCCCTCTCCAGCCCCGGGCAGCTCACACGCCTCAGGTTTTTTCTTTACCTTCCCCTTTCTCCCGGAACCACTTGAGGATAGGTTAAAGACATCTTTTTGCTTAACCCCTACCTTCAAGGTTTATTTCCTAAGAACAAAGCCATTCTGTTAGAAACCCCGTCTCTACTAAAAATACAAAAATTAGCCGGGCGTGGTGGCGCGCGTCTGTAATCCCAGCTGCTCCGGAGGCTGAGGCAGGAGAATCGCTTGAACCCGGGAGGCGGAGGTTGCAGTGAGCCGAGATCACGCCACTGCACTCCAGCCTGGGCGACAGAGTGAGACTCTGTCTCAAAAAAATAAAATAAAATAAAATAAAAAGATACAATACCGTTACATAATTCACAGTCCATGTTCAGTTTGTTCAATTGTCCCAACAATATCCTTTGTGGCTTTTCCCTGCCTAGTCCATCCAAGATCCATTAAGGTGCATTGCATTTTGTTGTCACACCTCTTTAGTCTCTTAATCCAGAAGAGTTTATCAGCCTTTGTCTTTTCTAATCTTGATTTTTAATTTATATTTTATTTATTATTATTATTATTATTAATTATTTTGAGACAGAGTTTCGCTCTTGTTGCCCAGGCTGGAGTGCAATGGCTCACTGCAACCTCTGCCTCCCGGGTTCAAATGATTCTGCTGCCTCAGCCTTCCGAGTAGCTGGGATTACAGCTTGGTGTTGAGAACATTCAGTATCCCAGACAGGGTCTCACTGTACTACCCAGGCTGGGGTGCAGTGGCTATCGTACACTACTGCCTCGAACCCCTGGGCTCAAGCACACTTCCTGGCTCCGCCTCCCAAGGAGCTGGGACTACAAACACGTGACACTCGTGCAGGCTTCATGATTGTAGTTTAGCACAATATTACGAATGTTAAATGTGATCATTTGGTTAAGGTGGGGTCTACCAGATTTTTCCACTGTAAAGTTATTATTTTATTTTATTTTACTGGTTTTTTGAGACAGAGTCTCGCTCTGTCACACAGGCTGGAGTGCGGTGACACGGTCTCAGCTCATTGCAACCTCCCACTCCTGGATTCAAGTGATTCTCCTGTCTCAGCCTCCCAAGTAGCTGGGACTACAGGTGCTCGCCACCACGCCCAGCTAATTTTTGTATTTGTAGTAGAGATAGGGTTTTACCATGTTGGTCAGGCTGGTCTTGAACTCCTGACCTCAGGTGATCCACCCATCTTGGCCTCCCAAAGTGCTGGGATTACAAGCGTGAGCCACCACGCCCAGCCAAATTATTATTTTACAATTCACAATTGTACACACATATTTTGAGACCAACGTGTTTTTTGTTTGTTTGTTTTTTTGAGACCGAGTCTCACTCTGTCGCCCAGGCTGGAGTGCAGTGGTGTGATCTCGGCTCACTGCAACCTCTGCCTCCCAGGTTCAAGCAATTCTCCTGCCTCAACCTCTCAAGTAGCTGGGACTACAGGCACATGCCACCAGGCCCTGCTGATTTTTGTATTTATAGTAGAGATGGGGTTTCACCGTGTTGGCCAGAGTGATCTTGAACTCCTGACCTCAGCTGATCCACCTACCTCAGCTTCCCAAAGTGCTAGAATTACAGGCGTGAGCCACCAAGCCTGGCCTCCAACATGCTTTGTTGTTGTGTTTTTTGTTGGTGGTGGTGGTGGTGGTTTTGTCGTTGTTGTTGTTGTTGTTTTGAGACGGAGTCTCACTCTGTTGCCCAGGCTGGAGTGCAGTGGTGCAACCTCAGCTCACTGCAAGCTCTGCCTCCCGGGTTCACACCATTCTTCGGCCTCAGCCTCCTGAATAGCTGGGACTACAGGCGCCCGCCAACACGGCCGGCTAATTTTTTTGTATTTTTAGTAGAGACGGGGTTTCACCGTGTTACCCAGGATGGTCTCGATCTCCTGACCTCGTGATCCGCCCGCCTCAGCCTCCCAAAGTGCTGGGATTACAGGTGTGAGCCACCATGCCTGGCCTGTTGTTGCTTTTTAACTAAGTAGGGGAATGAAAAGGATGCACCTCGGAAGAGGGTTTGGTAAAAAGTTTGCTTCTGGGATCCACTCTCCTCTCACTCACCTAGTTCCCAGATCCCTCTGTCATACTTACCATTGCTCTCTTCCAGCCCATCCATTTCTGCCCTGGATATCTTCAGAGCCAGTGGCTGAATGAGGCCTTGGGGAGCATTTCTTCAAACTTAGGGCCTAAAAGATGCTAGGGCAATGGTTCTCAAAAAGGTTTTAGTATCTAAAACAGATAAAAGGGAAGTTGTTTTGGCGGGAGCAAGAGCAGGGGGCTGCAGCCACCCCCAGAAGACCTTCTCCCCAACTAGCTGGCCTCTGAAGTACCCCATTCCACACCCTGGGAAAGTATGGAAATCTCTGGCTTATCAGGCACACCAGTGGCATCTAGCTCCTCAGGAAGGCTGGCTTGGACCTTACCCACCTCTCGTATGCTGCTTCATACAACATTGGCCTGAGTCCTGGGGCCAATGGCTTTTGAGAAAGAACTCGGCCTGTCATCAGGCAGCATCCCCATCCCCCTGCACCATCACTGCTGCTCTTTCTGTACTGTCTTCCTGGAATGCAGACTGCAGGCCAGAGACTGCACAAGGAAAAGCAGCAGAGACCCAGCCAGCCCATCTCTCCTCTCTGCCCTGGAACCTGAATGCAGCTGCTTTCCTCCAACCTGCACCATTGAGGAAGCAGCCAGGTTGGAGACTCAGGCGGAGGGCCTGGCAGATTTCCTGAGTGCTCTCTGCAACAGACCAGGCCCACCAGAGGGGAACTGGGATCTGGCAAATGACCACAGCCATCAGGAAGTGGCCTGGAAGAGTTTTCACTTCTCCAAAGATATTGTTCCTGGTAGCTCCAGGGTCTATATATAAGACAAAGGAGGTGGGGGGTAGGAGGGCAGTGAAGAAGACATTGGCCAGGATCAAATCCCAACCTTGTTACGTGATCCTGACAGGTCATTTCAACCTTTAACCCACAGTTTCCATTCTAAAGTGGAGGCAAAATAAGCAGCGCCTACGGTTGTTATGACGACTAATGTAATCCTGCAGCGGGCTTTCCAAATGTCAGAAATTGGAATGATAACTGCACAAATCTGTGCTATACCGTCATGCCAGTTCTATTATGCTATTGTTTATCTAAGATTTCCCCTAACTGCTTTGCTTTTTAAACATGGGCATGTCCGAAGCAAAGCTGCTTGAAAATTGGGTTTATTTTACAGGTTATTGTTTCCTACTCTACTTAAATAGACGATTGCTAAAATAAAAAAAAATGTTCATCTATATTCACTTCCTCCTCTTTGTTTCTGAATCCTCTACCACTACCCTTCCTCTCCTCCAGTCTCCAGCTTTGTTTATAGGGAAATAGGTTCAAAATCTCAGTGATGACAGGTGTTTTAACTCGTTTGGTATACTGTTGCAGACAGTTGACCCTGGTCATGAACAGGATTGTACAATCCTCACCTTTAAGTGTGGAAGAGAGGACCAATGGTGTCACAGAAGCAAGATCCCTACAGAGAAGGCTTTTATATTTGCCCTAACTTGCCCTCAGGAATGATCTAGCCTTCACCTGCAGCAGACCAGGCCAGAAGAGTTTTCTGGTGGGGGTGTCCACATTGCCTTGTGGACGTAACAGGCTCTCCAAAATGTGAGCCAGAGCCTGAATTCGAGCCATGTTTTAGCTGGAATTCAGCTGGGCAGTCAAACCACGTACCTTCTGCATTAATCAGGGCTCAGTTACAGAAGACATGCCATTCTAGCCATTTTCATCAGAAAGGCATTTAATACAGGTGATTAGATGCTTACAAAATCTTAGAGGACCTAAAGAAAGGGGCTCTGGTGGACCTCCAAGATTGTGCCCAGAACTTGGCTGGGCGTGGTGGCTTACATCTGTAATCCCAGCACTTTGGGAGGCCGAGGCGGGCGAATCAGCCAAGGTCGGGAGTTCGAGACCAGCCTGACCAACATGGAGAAACCCTGTCTCTACTAAAAATATAAAATTAGCTGGGCATGGTGGCACATGCCTGTAATCTCAGCGACTCAGGAGGCTGAGGCAGGAGAATCGCTTGAACTCAGGAGGCAGAGATTGCAGTGAGCCGAGATTGCGCCGTTGCACTCCAGCCTGGGCACCAAGAGTGAAACTCCGTCTCAAATTAAAAAAAAAAAAAAAGAATGCACCCAGAACAAAACAGAACTGGCCTATTCGCCTATGCTGAAACCTAGTGTCTCCCTGGCTGTGCTGGCCAGCAGTGAGGACTTGGGCGGCAAAACAATGGCCCCCATCTCCTAGCTGTTATGTTATGCACCAGTGCATTTAAGGAGTAAACCTAACTCTTATCCAGAATTCTAACTGCAAGAAAGTCTGGGAAATGTGAATTATTTTTTTTAAGCTCTCTAATCTCTGCAGCTTAAGAAGTCACACTAAAAGGTTGACATAGATGATAAAAATCAATTTAACATACCCACCACCGTTTAACAAATAAAACGTCTTCCTCAGCCAGGCGAGGTGGCTCACGCCTGTAATCCCAGCACTTTGGGAGGCTGAGGCGGGCGGATCACCTGTCGTCAGGAGTTCGAGACCAGCCTGATCAACATGGAGAAACCTCCTCTCTACTAAAAATACAAAAAATTAGCCAGGTGTGGTGGTGGGCTCCTATATTCCCAGCTACTCAGGAGGCTGAGGTAGGAGAATTGCTTGAACCCGGGAGGCAGCAGTTGTAGTGAGCCGAGATTGCGCCATTGCACTCCAGCCTGGACAACAAGAGTGAAATTCTGTCTCAAAAAAAAAAAAATCTTGCTCTCCAACACTGGGGCCCAGCCTACCTCTTCAGCTTGGTCTCTAGCCACTCATCCAACCCACATGTACTCTGTGTTCAGGTGAATTGTCAGGTACTATGGTTTGAACGTGTCCCGTCCATAATTCAAGTGTTGAAACTTAATAGCTACTGAAGTGATAGTAAGAGGAGGGAGCTTAAGGAGATGATTAGATCATAGGGGCTCCTCCTTCATGGATGGGATTAAGGCCTTTATAAAACAGGCTTGTTGCAGCAGCCTCCAGCTCTCTTGCCCTTCTGCCTTCCTCCATGTGAGGCCACGGTGTTCCTTCCCTCCAGAGGACACTGCAACAAGGCACCACCTTGGAGGCAGAGAGCAGACAACTGGATCTGCTGGAGCCTTAAGCTTGGACTTCTCAGCTTCCAGATCTTTAAGAAATAAATTTCTGGGCCGGGCGCAGTGGCTCACGCCTGTAATCCCAGCACTTTGGGAGGCCAAGGCGGGTGGATCACGAGGTCAGGAGATCCAGACCATCCTGGCTAACACGGTGAAACCCCGTCTCTACTAAAAATACAAAAAAATTATCCGGGCGTGGTGGCAGGCACCTGTAGTCCCAGCTACTCGGGAGGTGGAGGCAGGAGAGTGGCAGGAATCCGGGAGGTGGAGCTTGCAGTGAGCCGAGATCTCGCCACTGCACTCCAGCCTGGGCGACAGAGCCAGACTCCGTCTCAAAAAAAAAAAGAAAAAGAAAAAAGAAATTTCTGTTCCTTATAAGTTACCCAATCTCAGGTATTTTGTTATAGCAGCACAAAACAGATTAAGACACTGGGGTACCTCCACCACGCAGTGCCTTTGCTCAAGCTGTTCCCTTTTTTTTTTTTTTTTTGAGGCAGAGTCTTGCTCTGTCACCCAAGCTGGAGTTCAGTGGCGCAATCTCCACTTACTGCAACCTCTGCTTCCCAGGTTCAAGCAATTCTCCTGCCTCAGTGTCCTGAGTAGCTGGGATTATAGGCGCACACCATTGCGGCTGGCTAATTTTTGTATTTTTAGTAGAGATGGGGTTTTGCCAGGTTGGCCAGGCTGGTCTTGAACTCCTGACCTCACTCGATCCTCCCATCTCTGCCTCCCAAAATGCTGGGATTACACGCGTGAGCCACCACACCCAGCCAAAGCCATTCCCTTTATCTAGAATGTTCTTTGTTGCTTTTTCCACCAAATGAATGAATTGCCTCTTCTTACAAGCTTTTTCTTACCTTCTGGAGAAGAAGTCATATTCTGGCCCTCTGTAGCTTTTTGTGTGTACCTTTTTAAATGATATATTTACATGTGTGTCTCCCACACTTGACTAAGAGGGCAGAGATCATCTCTTTGCTATCACAGGTGAGGAAAGTCTGAGCCAATTCCTTTTAGCTCCTGGCTTATTATTAAAAAACAAAAAAAGGAGATTGAAATAGGGTATTAAAGTATTAAAGTTTCTAGAACAGTCTAAAGGTTTAAGTTTGCCAACTTAATGCTTTTAACACAAAAATGATGATGCAGGTGCTGCGGCTCATACATAGTCCCAGCTACTCAGGAGGCTGAGGCAGGAGGATCGCTTGAGCCCAGGAGGTCAAGCCTGCAGTGAACCGCAATTGTGCCACTGCACCCCAGCCTGGGTGACAGAGTGAGATCTTGTTTAAAAATCGAACAAACAAACAAAAAACAAAAGACCAAACAACTCCTGGGCTCAGGCGATCCTTCTGCCTCAGCCTCCAAGTAGCTGGAATTACAGGTGCCAGTGACTGTCCACCTGCACATGTATTTTGATTCTCTTTTACAGCATCTGAATATATACTGTGATTGATC